>NC_000003.12:164614664-164766180 GCF_000001405.40 Homo sapiens
CTAGTGTGTTGTTTCTAAGAGTTTTCTAAGAGTAATAACAAACATAACAGTAATTGTTTTCTATGATTTTATATTTTTAAAATGTTGTCCTTTTTATTCAGATAGTTGTATTGTGAAATTTTCTGAGTCTATTTCCTTTTTTGTTTTCTTCATGATATATTTGAAGGATGGAATTTTAAATTTTGATGATATCTAAATCTTTTTATTTGTTTTTTTTTTTTTTTTGTCTTTTATGGTTTGTATTTTTTTATCCTGTCCTAAAAATGCTTTGCCTAACTCATGGCCACAATGATATTTTCCTTTCTTTTTTTTTCCCCCTGAACTTTAATAGTTTTAGCTTTTGTGTTTAGGTAAATAATCTATTTTTTAATTGCATATAATGTAATTTATATATTTCCATTTTCCTCTCATGTATTAATGTTATATTTATAACTAGAAATAAAAAGCAACTATTTGTATTTGTGTAAAAAATTCTGTACAAATAATTATTTATAAGTTACTGAGTCAAAATTGTTTCAAAATGGTTGAAAACACCAAAACTTCCCTAAATGTATTTAACAACACACTCTTTTCAGGGAACAGCATTTTGAAAATCCTTTGAACAATAATAAATTTAAATCCTAGTGGAGTTATTTTAAAAATCGTGGGAGAAATTTTGCTGTAGATAAAGGAACAGTGCAGTATCTTTCTAGTAAGCTTGCTTCAAAGTCCTCCAAATTTAAGAGATTTATCAAGGAAGTGCCTAACAGCTATTACTGTTATCAAAGTAATCAGTCCATTTACTAATGTTCTGAGGGTGAAATGACCATTGAATTTTAATGATAACATCAAGCTAAATTCCTGCAAAAGACATACAAGATTGGGAGCATTTTATCTTATTTTGATATGAAGAACTACCTATTCCATTGGTCCTGTATCTCTTTAAGGAAACAATTAACAAAGTATACAATTGCTACATCAATTTTAATATTTCTAGATCATTTCAAATACATAAAATATGGCATTTCTGATAGAAAAATGTCTAGATTTTATTTATTGATATCCTCCCCCTCCCTCAAATTATGCTGTATGTATGAATATTTATCCTCATTACTCCAGTGTAACTATGCACTTGTATTTTCTTCCATTCTTTAGAAATCACCAGATCTACTCCTTGGATGATAAAGCAATGCAAATTGCAGAAATTAGAGGTGAAATCAAATGGTTGAAAGGAACCCTGCTTTGATCACTTTTTGGCTAAATTGGAGAATTCATTAAGTGTTTAGATCTCAGTTAATGTGTAGGAAAAAATGTCTTTCTTTTAGGTTTGCAGAGTAGCTTAGACATATAATGTTTAAATCTGTGTATAATTCTAGCCACAAAATCTGTGATCAGAAAATATATTTCCTTTTTCTTCTTTATTGATAACAAAAGGAATGAAGAAATTATAGGTCTTTAGAGATATCAGTGTCTTTGGATCATGTGATCTGATGGAAAGAAAGAAAATCAATATTATCTGAGTGTCAGGGATATAGTAATTGCTTTCACCTATCTTGTTGTATTCTCATGATAGCTTATTGGGTGTAACCAACTACATGTTTGTGTTTCCTCACAAACGTTAATCCCCATTATGATGATATTAGAAAGTGGGACTTTTAAGAGGTAATTAGGTAATAAAGGTGGAGCCTTCATAAGTGAAATTAGTGCCATTATAAGAAGGACCACAGAGAGCTCTCTTATTCTCTTTCTGCCATGTGAGGATGCCAACAGAGATAGTAGCTTCTAAGATGGAAGAAGAATCTTACCAGAATTGAGCCTGGTCTTGGACTTCCAGCCTCCAGAACTGTGATAAATATTAGGTTAGTGCAAAAGTAATTGTGGTTTTGCCATTTTAATGACCAACCTAATAAGCTTCTGTTGTTTATAAACAACCTAGTAAGTCTCTGTTGTTTATAAAACACTCAGTCTATCGTAATTTTTTGTAACAGCTCAAACTGACTAAGATATTGAGTTTTATTGTTAATAGTTTTATAAAATAAAGATCTCAATTGGAAATGTAGAATTGTCCAATCTGTACCATCAGGTTAACAGATCAAAGAGTGGAAACTAAAATTCAGACCTGGTTATAGATTCTACCATCTTCCCATCAAAACATACTGTTCTCAAGTTTGTGTAGAGCAACAGTTGTTGAAGTATAAGACTTGTGGCATTGTTCTATATACTTAGAAATACTAGTGTTTATATTTAGATATAAAATTGTACTTTAGACAATTTAGTAAAAGATATTAAACAATAGACCTGTTTCCCTACATATAAATTAATAATACACTACATTAATTTAACACTATATATATATATTTTTAGTTAACTGATATCTAGGTAATGGCAGTATTTTCCTTTAGCAATTAAAAATGGATTCTGAATTTCTTTTCTCAGAAATTTAAATATATTACATTAAGATGTTAAGACATCTCTTTCAAACTAAGGTTACTTCAAAAATTGGTTTATCAATGTGTTAGTGATAATCAGAATTTTTTAATATTGTAAAAATAAGAGGTTTTCTAGTGAATGAAAGCTAGAAGAAAATTGAACTTTGATCTCAAAGGACAAATCCTCTTGTAATTACTAAATTCTGAATATTATATCTATTTTATATGCTCAGCACTATTTTTGTACTTTCAAAATATTTATTAAGGGAATTCAGATTGCTTTTAATGGCTTTCCTTGCTAATACCTTTATTCAAGGCTCACCATAAGCAAAATTAGACAAAAATCTAATTGAATCGTAAGTTTTTTTTTTTAATTTTCAACTGAATCTTTCCTTCCCTCTTTCCCTCCTTCTCTCTCTTCTTTGTTCTCCACCCCCACTCTCACCACCACAAGGCATATTCTAGTTCCAACACTATAACTAAATAGAAGTAAAGTTTCATGACATTCATAAGAGCCATAAAGGAGTATGTCACCTCCAGTCTGTAGCATACAATGTATCTAATAGACACAAGTAGTTACCATATGTTTTAAATTGAAAATAAGAACTTAAAATTTGGCAAAGTTTGGGAACATGATTTGTAGGTAGTTACAGTAGAGTTAGTTTTAGGTGCCAACATCACAAAATATTCCTGTCTTTCAGTGATTTATGGTGACAATGAGACAGCATTCATAAAATGAGGATAATAATAAATCTCTTGTTTGGTTGCTGCATGGACTAAGAGAAATAATATTTCCTGCCTTCATAGAGTATGGCATATGACAACTGTCTAATCCATGGTTAGATAAAGGTTAAAATGCACTATGCTCATTTTCTTTTGCCACTAGGGATGGACAAGAGACTTAGTTTTCGTCAATGGGATTTAAAGGAGAAGATTTGTGCTATTATTAAAATCATCTGAGACCAGGTGCGGTGGCTCATGCCTGTAATCTTAGCACTTTGGGAGGCCACGGCGGGTAGATTTCCTGATCTCAGGAGTGTGGGACCAGCCTAGGGAACACGGTGCAACCCTGTCTCTACTAAAAAAAAAAATACAAAAAATTAGCCGGTCGTGGTGGCAGGCGCCTGTAATCCAAGCTACTTGGTGGGCTGAGGCAGGAGAATCACTTGAACACGGGAGGCGGAGGTTGCAGTGAGCTGAGATTGTGCCACTGCACTCCAGCCTGTGTGACAGAGTGAGATTCCATCTCAAAAAAAAAAAAAAAAAAAAAAATTCTTCTAAATAGGAAAGCATTTCCAATCAGGATTTATGGAAAATGTGATTTAATTCTTGGAGACATAATGTTAAGATTGTCAGCTGAAACATCACTATGTTAAAGTAGAAAAAGATATTTAAGCATTTGCATGAATTTTTTGTTTTTTTAAATGTGCGTCTTTTCTTAATCTTGCAAATAAATGTTAACATATTTTTTAAAAAACTTAAGTAGAAAATACATTGTTTGATGAAATGATCATTTTAATCCCAAGAAAAGAAAAATTATAAAGCCTGTTCTAAAGGGCAGTAATAGTGTAAGCTGTATCAGTAATTGGAAAGTTGGATGTTCAGGTAATGAAAATAAACTAGAGTTTTCTTATGGTATGCATTGCATTTAGAGCATATACAGAATTGTTTTTAATCTTTAGCCAAGAATAATAATTTTGATGACTATGGCTATTAGTTCTAGATTATAGTAGCATCCAGCTGAGAGGCATTATAGTTATTACTATTATCCCATACAGATTTTTTTTTGTGTATTTTACTTGGTAAGTTTTAAGTTTGTGGAAGTAAATATTACCTTCAAGGAGTTAATGTGGGTACAATTTTACTGATACTGAACAGACTTAGTGTATGGTTTAGTAAGACCAAAAGTTAATAAACTAATTCTAATTAGAATAAAAATCCGTTTATAGAGACTTTACTGAGGCTTTTATGACACTGTTGTGATCATTATTGTTTCCCATTGTGAGTGGTTGGTGTCATGATCTATTAATTGTGAAATATTTTTAGTATCATCTCTGTTATGGAATGAGTTATGTTTTCTCACAATTTATATACTAAAGCTGTAACTTCCAATGTAACTGTATTTGAAGACAGATCCTTTAAGGAGGTAATTAAGGTTAAGTGAGGTCATAAGAATTGGTCCCTAATCCAAAAGGACTGATGTCCTTATAATAAGAGGAAGAGACACCAGAGATTTCTCCTTCTTTCTGCAGGCATAGAGAAAAGGCCATATGAGTACACAGCCAGAAGGTGTCTGCCTACAAGACAAAGAGGGAAAACTTACCTGAAACCAACCCTGATGGATATTGGATTTCTAAGCTCCAGAACTGTGAGAAAATTAATTTTATGTGCTTTAAGACACTCAATTTGTGGTATTCTGTTATGGCAGCCTATGCTAGTCAATTTGCATTACCATAAAGCAACACCTGAGAGTGGGTAAATTATAAAGAAAAGAAGTTGAATCGGCTCATGGTTCTGCAGGCAGTACAGAAGCATAGTGCTGGCAATTGCCCCTGGCAAGGGGCTCAGGAAGCTTACAAACATGGCAGAAGGCAAAGGGAAGCCAACATATCACACGTAAGCTCAGGAAGCTTACAAACATGGCAGAAGGCAAAGGGAAGCCAACATATCACGTGGCGAGAAAGACAGAGAAGCGGTAGGTCCCAGACTCTTTTAAACAACAAGACCTCATGTGAACTGAGGGGAAACTCACTTTCACCAAGGAGATGGTGCTAAACCACTAATGAGGGATCTGTCCCATGAGCCAATCACCTCCCACCAAGACCTACCTCCAATTTTGGAAATTATATTTCAACATGAGATTTGGAGGGGACAAACATCCAAACCATATCCCAGCCTGAGCAGACTAACAGAGTCTCTGAATAAATCTATGAAAATGACTAGAGTATTATTTTGTTGAGTGATTTCTTCTTGTATTAGGATTGGTCTCCTTGAAAATATTTTTCTCATATCTGTTATAATAAAATACTGAGAATCATACTAATTCTACTCTAAACTTAGATATTTAAGAGGGTTGGATTTGACTGATTGCTCTGATGTTGCTAACATAGTCAAAGACTTTTCAAAACTAAAGTGTAATATTATGTCATGCAACCTTGAGAAAATTACAATGGACAAAGCAGAACTATAATTCACAATTCATCTCCCAAACAAATTGTGACACCCCTTCTTTCCAATCCACTGAAATATGCCTAAAATGAGAAAAAAGGGAAATCTTAAAAACAACAACAACAACAACAAAGAAAAAACAGAAAACGGCAACATTCAGGCAAAAAAGAATGTGAGGACTATGATGCTGGCATGCTAAACTTAATTAATAATAAATGAGAGAGTTTGGAATGATTATATGTGAATGAGTTTCAATCCTGATATCTTTTCCCTTCATTTTTTCACCTCAAAGACCTAGTCCATCAGCATCTTTTATTACTATCATCAGCCTTCCAGAGCCTCTGCCAAGATGTCTGCTGCCTGGAGCCCATGGGTATATGTCCCAATTAGTCATAGCCCAGGGTCAAATGTGTCATTCCAGAGAGCCAACAGTTCATAGCTAATTTACGTTTCCTTGTCAAAATGCTTAAACCACGTATTTTAGAGCAGTAACTAGAAAAACTAGGAAATAAAAACTTGAAAAATGTCAACGGGAAATGACTTTTTCCTCGGTTAGCATCTGCAATATACTTATCTTAAATATTTTCTGCCTTTTGACCATCTTCCATGGTCGATATTTATATTATAATTTGTCATTATCGAAAATTGATCCCTGTATCAATTTCTGCTTATCTTTAGACAATATTGAAAATGACCCTGGATTTTGTTTTTTAAGCTAAAAAATTCTGGTTCACACATGAAACTTCCAAAAAATAATTGTTTTCCTGTATCTTGAAGAAAACAAATTATGTGCTTCAAGAACTCAAGTTATTTTTAATCATGTTTTTAAAAACATGATTATGTAGTATCCATTTCTGTCATATTATTGTCAAACAGAAAACACTTACATCATTCGACCACCTTAGGGTGCTTTCCATTGGAATCTCTATAGCACCACTGATTTTTTTTTTGAAATAGGTTCTCACTCTGTCACCCAGGTTGGAGTGCAGTGGTGTGATCATAGCTTACTGTGGCCTGGGACTTTTAGGCTCAAGTGATCCTCCTGCCTCAGTCTCCCAAGTAGCTGGGATTACAGGCACCAGCCACCATGCCAGGCCTGGTTAGTCATTTGTATATAGCATGTGTCAAATTCATATAAATGTTTTGTTATTGCTATAACTACTCCAAAGGTTTTGATAATTTACATACACCATGTTGTACTTACTGTCTCTTGGTCGCTGCGTTACATGTTGAGATAATACTTGTGAATGAGACAGATGCCTGGAGGTGAAAAACAAACCTAGTCAAAAGATATGCTTCGCATAATTGTTTATAAAGTAAAAAATTAAAGGTAACTGAATGCTTATCAATATTGAGCTGTTTTATATCTATACCAGAAAGTATAAGGCAATACTTTAAAAAATGTGTAAAACCTTGTAAACTCACATAAAAAAATTTAGAGACATGTTAACTGACAAAAGGAAGACGAACATTTTGTTTTGCTTTATCTCATTTATGGGAAAAATCGACAAATCAAAACTCCCTTGTGTGTGTGTATGTGTGTGTGTGTGTGTGTGTACATGTGAACATGCCCATGTGTAATTATAAATATATAGAAAAAAGAACTAGATATCTTAACTTCTCACTAAAAAAATACCTTCTGTACAGGAGAATGGTTTGGAAATTGAGACTAATCAAGGAGTAACATTAATTTTATCTGTACTATTTAATTTTTTATTATCAAGATTATATCCATGTGTTACTATTGTAAATAAAAAAGCATGAAAGACAAACTTCAATGAATAAAATAGTTAATAAAGTTTAGATATAACTTCAATTTAATCAGCAAATTATAAGAGCAGCTAGCAAAATTCTTTCAAATACTAGATATTATTTCTTTAAGCTGAAGGAAATACAACTACATTCAAAAAGCTAGCCAGTTATTAGGTAAAATTTCTTGGAAGAAAAATACACATAGTGAAAATCTGGTAAGTATAAATTTTAATAATAAAGAAAGAGATTTGCACACAACCAGCCTGTAAAAACAAAAAACAAAACCCCAAAACAAACAAAAAAGCCACCCAAAACAGTAACAACAATGTATTATCTTTATTTCCAAAGAAGAAAACAATCAATGTACATCTCAACTTCCCTGTGAAATAGATAAAAGGCTGATGATAAGCAAATAAAGCAAAACAACATACAAAATAACATAATTGCTGTTAAGAGTTAGACACATGTCAAATAAAATTTGGAAAAAAGGCAGTAAAGTAAAAATAATTAACAATAAAATTAAATATTCAAAACAATAAGCATCTAAAAATTTCAGATTGTAGAAATAAACTGTAGAAAGACGTTGTGAAGAAAAATAAAAGTATTTTCTCATTTTATTTCATATATAAGAAATTGCTTAAAAGATAGAATGTTATCACTGATGATTAAAATAGAAAATGAAGAATAATATTTTAGCAACTTTAAGAATAGCAAAATATGTATGTAGAATGTATGAGAAGTATTTAAAAATATATTCAAATAAATTATGATCTATAGAGACATAGATAAACTAATGAAAATCAGAAGGTGTAAAAAAAAGACATTCTACACACTATGATACAAGTAACATCTGATGAATTAGCCATGCTGATAACTGCCAATTTATTAAATTTTTCTATTAAAAATACATTTTGTATTAAAAATAAATTATATGATATCATTGATTGTAATCTTAGATCTCAAAATGACTAGAGTGTAATTTATGCGGTTATTTACATATTTATATAGACATACATAAACTAAACATACACATATCCTTTTATGTAATTGAAAAATGAAAAATAGATGTATTTATATAAGTGAATATACATGTAAAAGTATATATATTGGTCTGTCTGAGTTTAATAAATGCTATATATATATATATATATATATATATATAATCTGTTCATGTCTGAATTTAATTCCTACTTTGAGACTTATTCCACTGATATCATAAACCTAATCTGTCAGTTTTAGTGAAGTCTTTTCAAGTTTTCCTCAGTCAATGCAGGCATCTAGCTCACTTACCAGAGTTGTTTTTCACCTGTCTGTGCTGATTTTTCTAATACATTTATGCTTTCAAAAAGTCTCTGATTTTTAGTAGATCATGGCAGCTTCTCTTTTACACCATACATGAAGCTCTCTTAGGCCTATCCCTTTCCATTGGCTACTTCTATACCTCTCCTGACCTTATGAGAGTCATTTGGTTGCTTCTCAGTCAAAGTGAACACAGGAAAACTTGGTGAGGGGATATGGGGCCAAGTATTCCTGCCCAAATAACAAGTGGAGCCGTATCTTCGACTACTGCTTGTATGCTATACAGTTTAGTTCCTCCTTCGTAACAGCAATAGATTGGCCCTCTTCTCTTAGATCCTTCAGACACGGTTGTGTTTTCAATATGTATTTTCTTCTCTGCTATGATAAAATTTAAATTTACAAAGTCCCTTCTTTAAGATACATAGAAGTTCAAGAGAGTATAACTCTTGATTTCTAACTAGTTCTTTTCACTCCCCCAGCTAAGAGAATCTTCATCTTCTATTATCAGAAGAGAAGAACTCCCAGCTTTCACATATTTTCTCCTCACATATTTATTTATTTATTTAGGCCCTTGCATTTAAAATCCAAAAGCGAGTATTTTACAGTTTGATTATAAGAGTCTTTCCTTGAGATAATGCTGTATTTAGGGCAAAAACATATAAAATCGAGGACTGTAAAAGAGGAAAGAGGCCAGGCACAGTGGCTCACACCTGTAATCCCAGCACTTTGGGAGGCCGAGGCGGGCAGATCACAAGGTCAGAAGATCGAGACCATCCTGGCTAACACGGTGAAATGCCGACTCTACTAAAAATACAAAAAAAAAAAAAAAAAGAAAGAAAAAGAGGAAACAAAAGGTAGTTAATACAACAAAGTTTATCATTTGCATAATACTCTTTAAAATCAAAAAAGAGATTGAAAAATTACAATTAATATAGAAAAATATAATGCATATTTATGTCTCTGACCAAAAATAAGGAAAATTTAGGACTTGAAAATGAATTCATAGGTTGAAATATCAAATATGTAATAATATGTCATTCTTTCATATATGTTCATTATTATATTTAAGATAATGCTAAAAATTCATAATGTCAATGCAATATCCTTTCAAAATTATATTAAATTGTGAAACTTTATAATAATCTGCATAGTTATCACCAATAATCTCTGAACAGAAGGCAATAAAATTAAAGATAAAACAAAAAATATGTAACATTGCTTTAGAAAAAATAACACCCATTCCCCCAAAAAAATCAATTTAGGAATGAAGTTCAAATTGTATAGGCAATTTTGTAGAAATGTAATTATGCAGAACTTTTGGAAGATGAAGATATATTAATGTGTTGTAATAATAGGAGCTAATTGTTCTGGTTAGTGAGAGATTTGAGTCATTAAATAAGGAGCTATAAAATATCTCTGTGCCTCAATGTACAGATGAACTCTCTTGTTAGGACAAAAGGCAAATGTGGGGTGAGTGGCTTTTTTAACACCTTATTGTGGCAGGGACTTAAGCGTACTCACCATAGGGACTCAAAGGAAAAAAAAAACATTAATAAATAAATAGTAAGTCCTCCATATGGTGCTCAGCTCAGTCAGCTCAACATATATGTATCATAGAGCTGTTCTCCGAGAATAGGCGAGGAAATTTCATATCTTATAGAATTATTTCTTAAAAAAACACACGAGAATATTGTTTTCCTCTTCAAGCTTATGTGGTCCTATTTATTCAATTACTTAACTAGCAGGAAAGATTCTATATTGTTTCTAATTTCTGAGACACAGTGGCCAAAAATGTCCAAAGGTTGTTTTCAATTTGATGTTTACTTCATATTATTATTCATTGAATTCTCACATCATGCTTTAAAAATAATTCATATGTAACATGTTGAATCACATCCTTCTGTCTTTAACTGGCCTCATGAATCTTTAAGTCCTAATTCTTGGTTGTTTTAATGTATATGTGAATACCACTATAATGTTAATTAATACCTCTATATTTTCCTATCTATATACTTCTACATATTTTCTCCATACATGTTTCCTTTTTCTTTGGTTTTCTAACATCTGATAAAAAATTGAGTTTCATAAAGGGCAAAGTCTTAAATATTGCACTCTTGAGCATTTTATTTCATAGTTTTAAATTAACACAAATACACAATATATTTTTCTTTTTTAAAATGAAATTTGAGATAAAAATATTTAATGTATTGCTTAAGATTCTCATGTGTCTGATATAACACATTTGTAACAATGCTATCTAATCATTAAAATATCTATTATTGATAGATAATGGATCAATTATGAAGAAAAATATGTGCACATAGAATGGGTGTTTCATTTTAGATCATTAATTAGTTTTTGATTGCTATAAAACAAATTACCATAAATTTCACATCTCAAATCAACATAAATTTATTATCTCATGTGTTTTGTGTGACAGGATTTGAATACATATTAGTTGGCTCTCAACAAGGTGAAAGCAAGATTTCAGTAGGGATTTGATCTCATCTGAGGCTCCTGTCTTCTTTCAAGCTCACATGGTTGTTAGCAGAATGTTTCTTCTTGTGGCTCTGTGACTGAGGTCTAGTTTTCTTGTTGGCTGTCACCTAAAAACCACTCTCAGCTCCAATATCTTGCCATGCAACCCTCTCAATAGGCCCTCATACACAGCAGTTTGCTTCTTTTTGAGTCCAGTAGGAGAGTATCTGTCTTACACTACACCTTCGTTTAGAGAACTCACCTGATTAGGTCAAATACATTCAGAAAATTTTCTTATTTTATTAACACAAAGTCAACTGATTAATAAGCTAATCAAAAGAGTGAGGTTTCATCTTTTTTCCAGCTCAGCCTATTTACTCAAGAAGAAAAAATTTCATAGAAATGTACATGGAGTAAGTAGAAAATGTTGGAAACTATTTTAGGTTGAATTGCATCTCTCCAAAATTTATATGTTACCGTCCTAAATCCTAGTACCTTTGTCCTGAGACAGAGTATTTCAAGAGATAATTCAGTTAAAATGAAATCATTAGGCTTGGCCCTAGTTCGGTAGGAATGATGTACTTATAAGAAGGGGAAATTTGGACACATACACACACAGAGGAAAGATAGCGTGAAGACGCAGGGAGAAGACCACTATCTGCCAGTGATTGGATTCAGGACATGCTACCCCATAATATGGTACTTTGGCATTTGGGAAAACAGTGGAAGCAGTAAGATACATTCACCTTCTCTTCATTCTTTTTCCTGAAGCAACCCATAAAACCTAGGAGGGTCGCTCTCCGATCTTCTCTTTTCCTTCTTCCCTGAAAACCTTCATGTGGCAGGTGTCCTGCCCTACCTAGGGGAAAGGAATGACACACAGTGATGCTAAGAAGAATCTGAACAAACAGGCTTTGCCAATTTATTACCAATAGATCGTACCCTTCTGTCCTCCAATCCTATCTCTGCACATCCGTCTATAAAAATACACATATTTCTCCATTTTTTTGAGTCTTCATTTTGATGGCTCCCATGTCATATAAAATTGATATTAAATAAATTTGTATGCTTTTCTCTGGTTAATCTGCCTTTTGTTATGGGGGTGTCAGCCATCAGCCTTGTGATTGGTGAGGAAAAGATATTATTTTTATCCCCGACGGTTTCTGGTACCCAAACCGGGGAAGCTCAGACACCCACTCACTCTGCAGCCTACAGATGAGATCCGGCGACAACTGAGAAAAAGCTGACAGAAAGGTAAGAATTTTTACCCAGGTCAGCCCTCCCAGATCTCTGATAGTGGTGTCCAGTTGAAACAGAAAATTTCTTCTTTCCCTTCCTTACCAAATTCAGAGTAGCAGGATAAAATCATTTGTTTGAAAGGTCACTCTTGTGTAAATTTGGTTTTAGAAGATCCATTAGTTACTGATTTTCTTCTCTCCCAGGGATGGTTATCTCTTTCCTGTTCATCTAATTTTATGTCCTGTGAGCTTGGCTTTATAACCAGTGAGATTATTCTTTCTGATCTCTCCCAGCTAGAGGGTGCAAGTATTGTTTTGTGTCAGGCAGCCAGTAGAATATGCTGGGAGTCCAAGAATTTTTTGTTTGGCAGTACCAGCTCTCAAGAGAGTTTGTCATCTCAACCCTTCTTGCTTGGTTAGTTGTTCACCCTAGTAATCTGTGACCAGAGGCATTCTATGTTTTATAGGAGATGAGAGATGTCATTTTACAGGCAACAAAGATTTTTTTCTTTCTTTTTGCTTTCTTTGGAAGTGGTTTTAAATCTTGGGAGGGCTGCATCTATTTTCTGCACCCAGTTTGTTTTCTGTTTTCTTTTTTCTTTTTTTTTCTTTTTTTCGTTGAGAGAGGGTTTCACTCTGTCACCCAAGCTGGAGTGCAATGACACCATCATGGCTCACTGCAGCCTGAAACTCCTGGGCTCAAGTGATCCTCCCACCTCAGTCTCCAGAGTAGTTGGGATCACAGGCATGCACCACCACACCTGGCTAATTTTTATTTTTAGTAGAGGTGGTCCCTCGCTATCTTGCTGGGGCTGTTCATGAACTCCTGGGCTCAAGTGATCCTCCCACTTTGGCCCCGCAAAGTTCTGGGATTACAGGTATGAGCCACCACACCCTGCCTTGCATCCTATTTGAAGGACATCTCTTTTGTCCAAGGATAAGTTATTAAAGGCTTATTGGTTTGGGTTCTGAGTCACTTCACAGGTACTGTTGGTTTAAAAGAAAAAGAAAGGGGCCCCGTGTGGTGGCTCATTCCCGTAATCCCAGCACTTTGGTAGGCCAAGGCAGGCAGATCACTTGAGGCCAGGAGTTGGAGACCAGACTGGGCAACATGGTGAAACCCTCTCTGTACTAATAATGCAAAAATTAGTCCGGCATGCTAGCGTGTGCCTGTAATCCCAGATATTCAGGAGGCTGAGGCAGGAGAATTGCTTGAACCTGGCAGGCAGAGATTACAGAGACCTGAGATTGCACCATTGCACTCCAGCCTGGGGGACAGAGTGAAACTCTGTCTCCAAAAAAAGGTAAAAAAGAGATCAATACTTCTAGAAATATCTGTTGTTTGTCCTGACTGAAACTTGATGATAAAATATTTGAGAAACTTATTTTTAAGAGCTCTGTGGTCAGAAGTTGGCCTAACTGAAAGCTGATATTTAAATTCAGGCTATGTATATATCAAATATATCATACTTATACTGTACACAACATATATAAAAGATTATATTACATATAATGTATATAATATAAAAATGTATTCAGAAATTCAGAATTGTCATTAAATACCATGAATATATAATTTTCTACTCAGATTTATAAGTATATAAACCTTATGTTTCTGTTGGATTCTGCTTTTCCATGAACTCTTCTTAGTGGACTAAAATCCTATTTTCAAACCCCTGCTAACTATATGCTCTGCCTTTTCTTATTTGTTTACTATTTTTTTTTCTTGGAATGTTTTTTGCCAATAATAATGTAAAAATTCATTGGCCTCTTTGAGAAACTTAAGATCTCCCCATACTGGCTCCTCTAGGACCTCTTCTTTCCATTTATTTCTGCTTTCTCTTCTTCTTTTTTGACTTCTTGGATTTTCCCTTCAGTTTTTTTTTCTTTTTGAATCCTTGATATATCCCTTTTCAATCCTCTACCTCCCGTTTCAAGCCACTACCTCCCCCATCTCTCTGTCCACACCTGACAGACATTTTTCCACTCCAGCCTCTCAGTCCCTTGAGTCCCTTGTTCTCAAGGGTCTCAAGCTCCCCTCTAAAGTAACCACTTGAAGATAGAAATAAAATAAGACTATGTGGAAATAAATATTTTGTCTATTTAGAAGGGCTTTGGAGAAAAACAGCTGCTAGATCTCTTCTAGTCACTGGCCTAAAAGCTAGCCCGCCACCTCAGGAAGATTGACCTCTGTTAATATGCAAATATCATCTGAAACTCCCTCTTAGAGAAATGTAGATTCTTTCTGTGTGCATCCGATATGTTAATTTTCTATCCTGTCTCTTCTAAACATGGTAGTTATCTTTTGGGAATTAAAAACTTCAGGAGATTACTGTCTCTCACACACACACACACACACACACACACACACACACACACACACAGTTTGGAAATTGGGCAAATGAAAAAGTTTAAAAGTCTTTTCCAGAAATAATAAAATGTTTTTTCCATGTAAGCAGGTAATCTTAAGTTGTCCCATTTTTGTCAGAAATGAAATTTGATAAAAATGTAAGTTGAGATTAGCCAGTGAGCTCATATTTCCATGTTTTACTGACTCACGACTAAAATTTTAAAATGGAAGCTATGATATTTGTATCTGTCTGTATATTTGTATATGTTTTTGTATTTATGTTTGTAGGTTATTTCTGTGTGTGATCTTCTCTACCACTTGATGGTATTATTAATTTATAGAATCACATAAATAAGTTCTACTAGAATTTGCTTAGAGATAAATGAGTGCTTATGTAAATTAAGTATTCCTAAAACTTTCAGACATATAGAGACTAACCCAAGTTTTTTGTTTTTTTTTTTAACTTGACCTAATATGAAATAAACTTTGATAGATAAAACTAGTTTAAATATTACTGGTAAAATAAAAACAAGAATGTGTTAATAATTGTCATTAAATACAATGCAAATATACATTTTTTTCTACCCAGGTTTACTAGTCAAACATGCCTACGCTATCTCTACCAGATGTTTAAGGTTACAAAACTATAATTACAACCTAAGAGCAAATATGCAATAAAAATGAATTGACTGATGAATAGAAGTTTAAAAAAAGGGAGGGAGGGGGAAAACCATGTTTAACTTCCTTTGCTTCTGTGATATTTGTGATACTTGCTTGACTTGTCTACTAGAAAAACAAGATAACAGTTAGCTTTGACTAGTGTCTAATGGAATTTTGATGAAGAATTCAATCATAATTGTTAAGAACAAGGGTATTAAATAGAATATAACTGGGATAAATGTTTATAAATAAACTTTTCACATATCATTATGTTTATAAGTAGTTGAAAAATCTTTTTGGTAACTGTAATCCTAATGTTATGCTAAGTTAAATTAAGTAATAGGTAATAATTCAATGTCTGGGTCACTTCAGTTCTATGTAGTACTGAAACATTAACTGCTGAACCTGAGTTTATCTGCTTTTGGGCTCTTAAATTGTATAGAAAGATAAAATATGTTGAGTCTGTTAATAAACATGAAAAATTATACTATGAAGAAGGACGTGTTTCTACAAATTATGAAATAGTGTTCATCTATACATTGTTGGTATAATAAGTAACAGTTTCTTACTTTTCAGTTTTCACTGGAAATTAAGGTTACTAAAGGTTAAAAATTATAATTAATATATAGAATTAAAACCACTGCAAATTATAAAGGAGACAATTATATATGCTAAATGTGTAAGAAAAATGAGATACATTTTTGACAAGAGAAGTTATAAGTCATGAGGATTTTTTTTGTTGTTGTTAAGAGAAAAAGGAATAATTCTGGATTTGTATTAGGGTTCTCTGGAGGGACAGAACTAATAGTATAGATGTATATATAAAGGAGAGTTTATTAAAGGGGAGTATTGACTCACACAATCACAAGGTGAGGTCCTACAATAGGTCGCAAGCTGAGGAGCAAGGAAGCCAGTTCGAGTCCCAAAGCTGAGGAAGTTGAAGTCCAATGTTGAAGGGCAGGAAGCTTCCAGCACAGGAGAAAGGTGTAGGCCGGAAGAATAAACTAGTCTGATCTTTCCACGTTCTTCTGCCTGCTTTTATTCTGACCGCACTGGCAGCTGATTATGTTGTGCCTACCCAGATTGAGAGTGCGTCTGCCTTTCCAAATCCACTGACTGAAATGTTAATCTCCTTTGGCAACATCCTCACAGGCACACTCAGGAACAATACTTTGTATCCTTCAATCCAATCAAGTTGACACTCATTATTAACCATTACAGTATTAAAGTAGAATAACTGGTTATTCCACAATAAGAAAGAGAAAAATGTAGAGAAAAAAAGAAAGATGAACAAAAAAAAAGTTTCTTAGAAAAAGTTTTGAAAAAGGAATCTTATCTTGTGCAGTCAGGGCTGGCTAAGATTGGATGCATGTATTTATTTTTTAATAGTCCTAGTATTAATAGTATACTGATGCAAAACTAAAATTTGTTTTCTTTTCTCAAAATGAAGAAGTTTTTTGTTGTTTGGGTTTCTTATTTGTGCTGGTGGTCTGTTCTTAATTAAGAAATCATAAAAAAATTGTTTTTCAGCCTCATAAGTAATCTGCCTCAGAAACAAATATTTTGTGTTTCATTAAGATAATTTTCTGTGCTTTACATTGTCCTCATTAGGTATTTAATTACTTAAGAAAAGTGCATCTTCTCAATATTAAAAAAGCTATGTCTATATGTAACTGAGTAACTTTTTATATTTGCTTTCAATTTCTTTTATCACTTTGGTATTATTTCAGAGTGACCTATAATCCCATTTACTCAAGTATTTTAAATCTTTGACATTTTTGACAACTTACCAAAATCAAATTATAAAATAAGTCTTTTTGATCTTGCACTAATTTTTAGACTTTTCAGATGGGCCCCTGAAACATCTGAAAACAATTTATTGTCTCTCCTTATAAAAGAGGGATTTTAAAGTAATTAGGTTTATTTGATATGCCCTACATAGGAGTCATTGTCAAATATTAAGTGATACTTTCTTTAAGTTATATTTGTTATTGATGTGATTATTTCAAAAAACGGATATAATTTCCACAAATGTATATGGCCTTGTATAATGTCGTCAGTAATAATTTTGGTTATTATCTCAAAATGTTGTGTGCCACAGAAATAATAAAATTTCATTGTCAGTTTCATCATTATTATAATATACTCTCATCAGATCTTACCCATGACTATTTTAAGTCTTTTGTCATCCATAGCCAATTATTGTTTTACTCAAATTATTTTATGAAAGTGTTTGCAATCAGTTACATTCCCAAATGGCTTCTTTTTTCAATGAGATAAGAAAAAGACTCTGACAATTTATCTAGAATGCAAGTTTCCAATAACTTTAAATCATACCACTGGACTAAGTAAGAATTTCCAGAACTCTAATGAAGAAACTGAAGAGTTTTTGAAAGTATTTATCAGATTAAGTGGAACAAGAACTGATTACATGGGGCTGAATGAAGTGAAGGGTATAAATGTTTTTGTGAGTTTTTGTTTGAAACATTGCTGGTTCTTTAATGTTTTGTTTTCCAGATTTAAGGAAATGTATTGTTTATTTTTCTTAAGCTATCTATGGCTTACAAAATTTTTGAAAAGTATATCATGGTGAACAAAACTTCACCAATTATTTTTTCCCTACCTGATTCCTCCAGAACTTGAAAACTACTCATTAGTATTATACATTTTATGGCAATATATAGTTATTTGCATAAGTTTAATAAGAATCTGTTATCCTTGTAACGGAACAAATTTGGAAACTCTAGTTATAGTACCAAGGCTTTAACTGGAATGTTACATTTTCAGATATAACCAGACAACTTTAAATAACTTTGGTTGACTTTATTAAGTCAATAAAGCCTCTCAGAAAAAACAAAAACATAGTATTCCATGGTGTATATGTGCCACATTTTCTTAATCCAGTCTGTCATTGTTGGACATTTGGGTTGGTTCCAAGTCTTTGCTATTGTGAATAATGCCGCAATAAACATACAGGTGCATGTGTCTTTATAGCAGTATGATTTATAGTCCTTTGGGTATATACCCAGTAATGGGATGGCTGGGTCAAATGGTATTTCCAGTTCTAGATCCCTGAGGAATCGCCACACTGACTTCCACAATGGTTGAACTAGTTTACAGTCCCACCAACAGTGTAAAAGTGTTCCTATTTCTCCACATCCTCTCCAGCACCTGTTGTTTCCTGACTTTTTAATGATTGCCATTCTAACTGGTGTGAGATGGTATCTCATTGTGGTTTTGATTTGCATTTCTCTGATGGCCAGTGATGATGAGCATTTTTTCATGTGTTTTTTGGCTGCATAAATGTCTTCTTTTGAGAAGTGTCTGTTCATGTCCTTCACCCACTTTTTGATGGGGTTGTTTGTTTTTTTCTTGTAAATTTTGCAGCCATAAAAAAGTGATGAGTTCATGTCCTTTGTAGGGACATGGATGAAATTGGAAATCATCATTCTCAGTAAACTATCGCAAGAACAAAAAACCAAACACCGCATATTCTCACTCATAGGTGGGAACTGAACAATGAGATCACATGGACACAGGAAGGGGAATATCACACTCTGGGGACTGTTGTGGGGTGGTGGGAGCGGGGAGGGATAGCATCGGGAGATATACCTAATGCTAGATGACGAGTTAGTGGGTGCAGCGCACCAGCATGGCACATGTATACATATGTAACTAACCTGCACAATGTGCACATGTACCCTAAAACTTAAAAGTATAATAAAAAAAAAGAAAAAACAAAAACAAAAACAAACAAGCAAACAGAAAAATGCCTGGTATTCTGCTATTCTGCATACATGGTTCCCATGCAGGTGAGTAAAGAATGTGTTCCTAGTAAGCCCAGGAACATCAGAATATTTGGAATATTTGGGAACCTCAAAAGAGTGGAATTCAGTCAAGTCTATAGGAATTTGAGAAGTAATCAAATGGTTAACACTTGGCTTGGCTTCTTAGCCAGGCAAAGCTTTTAAATTTCGAATCTGAGATTCCTTATTCAAAGTTCTTGAAAAGCAGACTGAAATGACTATGCGATCAATCACTTGCTGCATTTATGTAACTAATTGGGCCATGTTTAATGAAAGTAGAATTATTTTGCAAATAAATAAATTTTACCCTAATTATTTTTGAAAAAAGTTTAATATGGTTCCGGAAAGAAAAAATATGTTTTATGAAAAACTATAACAAACTCTTGTGGGCATTAGATCCTCATTCTGTTTATTCTTTTGGAGGTTTTGTTATTTACCTATGATCTGAACTGAATCCTGAATTCTTCTAGTTTTCTTTCATATCTGGTTACAACTACACAAATTAATAATACTTTCAATTTTTCTCCAATCCTTCTTGGTTGAAATCCTTAAAATTATAACTTGCCTATTTCTGAAGCCCTGCAAGTAAAACTGGATATCTCTATATAGACTTCAGATAAATCTACAATACCTTATACATGGACAAACTTCGTCCTGTCACTCAGGAAGCCCATCAAAACACCCAAGGCTAACTGTATTCCAGGAAAACCTGTCAAATTGCCGTTGCCTGACTTCACTCTACCTGAGATGTTTAGAGCTCAACTTCTAGAAATCTCAACTGGCTACCCTCTAAACTCACAAACTGAATTTATAGTTTGTTCTAACCATTAATATTTGCTTTTCTTTTCTTTCCATCAGAATGCCTCTTGTTAAATACTTAACTGATAATTACCACTTAGAAACCTAACTTTCGTGGGAGCCCACCTGCAACACTACCTTCTTAAATGAGACACATCTGTTAACCGTCCAACTGGACGGAGACACTAGTTCAATGTTTTATGGGATAATCCACAAAGTAGTCTCTGGACTGTGAAACTTCTTTGGGAAGTGTTATACAGGAGGATAACGGGGTTCATGACAAGCTAACCCAACACATGTCATCTTGCCATCTAAGAAGACAGCAGAAGGAGGAAGTCCATAGCCACCTTCTTCTTGCCTTTTCTTGAAGCAAGCCATATAACCTAGGTCACTCTGACTTTCTCCCTGTCTTCTCCCCTGATAACCCTCACCGTGTTAAAAATGACAAAAGTCCTGACCTATACCCACAGGAAAGGAATGTCCATCTAGGGATGCCAAGAATATTCTGAACATACAGGTCTTGCTGACCCTCTCTCCTTGTTTATCACCATTAAATCATATCCCTTTGTCTTTAAATTATACTTCTGCACAACTATTGATAAAAAATATACCTATTTACATATTTATTTAGTTTTTGATTTCTCAAGCCTCTCATGTCATGTAAAAATTATGTTAAGTAAATGTATATGTTCTTCTCTTGTTGATCTCTTTTTTGATCTCTTTAGTTATGAACCTTGGAATCGGTGAGGGAAAGATTATTTATCGACCCTACAAAAATGAAAGTGAAAAGAGAAATCCTGATTTCACATATCTAGCTCCCAGAATTGTGAGGAAACAAATATCTATTAAGCCATCCAGTCTCTGGTACTTTGTTATCACAGTACTGTAATATAGGAAACAACTTAGAAATATGCCTGCCACAGGCTAGAAACATTTTAACAATGAAAATTCATTCATTTATTCTTGAAACAAACAGCAACTACAGCTTACATATATGTCAATTTGAAGTTGGTTTAAGTACTCTGTTAAACTGGTATTTCAGCAAACTATGGTTTCAATAGTTTAATCATAAATAAATAATATCAAAAAACTTAGTTAAATACATTCCAAAGGAAACTCTCTACTTTTATATGCTTTCCTTTTAAGGATTTCCCCAGAATGTATTTGTCATGTGAATGAAATTATTTAAGTATCTGTGATTCAAACACAAATATTATTTTATAAATATGTCATAACTTTCTGGAACAATGTTGAGGAATTTTAGAGGAGGAAATAAAAACTAACACAACAAGTATTTTAATAATAATGGAAAATATTTGTTTAAAAGCAACATTTCAGAAGCCTATAACTGTTAAACATTAAAGCAAACATCTTATTTTATCATTATATTAAATACAAAATGTTTTCTTTTGTCACTCTTTAATGTTCAAATAAACTTTTAGAGAGTTACACCTGACAACTTTTATCTCCTTAATCCTTTTTGTCACTAAGTTCTTGCAAATTATGATTAAACAGAACATAGATTTTTCTGAAATCTCCTATGGCAACTGCACATTTTCCTTAAACTGTTTTAGATGAAAAAATAATTTTTCAACGTATTATACATTTCTTTGACTTTTTAATATAGTAAAAAGAACATGATTTTATTTTGTGCTTTAAAAATATAAACATGATACTTAGTCATGGTTCTTAGTGCAAATGCCAGAATTCATCTCTGAGAGAAATTTATTTATAGTTATTTTATAAGGTCAGTTTATTGCATTATTTGTAAATTGTCTTTTGGATAAAACACACCCAGATTTCGATGTGATTTACTTGAGCATAATAGACCACAGCCACAATCTGTAAGTATTTTTTTCTCCAAGAAAAGGCAATTTTATTAATCATATTATAAAGGTTATAAAGTTTCAGGCCAATAAAGAATAATTTAACTTTCTTAGGCTCTTATGTCGATGAGTAAGAAAAGAAAACATTTGGATACCTTAACTTCTATGATGAGAGGCAAGATATAAATAATGCTTATTGTTGGCCAGGCGCGGTGGGTCACACCCGTAATCCCAGCACTATGGGAGGCTGAGGCGGGTGGATCACGAGGTCAGGAGATCCAGACCATCCTGGCTAACAAGGTGAAACCCTGTCTCTACCAAAAAATACAAAAATTAGCCGGGCGTGGTGGTGGGCGCCTGTAGTCCTAGCTACTTGGGAGACTGAGGCAGGAGAATGGCATGAACCTGGGAGGTGGAGCTTGCAGTGAGCCAAGATCGCGCCACTGTGCTCCAGCCTGGGCGACAGAGCGAGACTCCGTCTCAAAAAAACAAAACAAAAAAAAAACCAAAAAAAAACAACTTATTGTGGGGATGCTTTATCAGCAGAGAGTGTCTGTTTTGTGATAGCCAATGAAAACACAACAAACGTCTAATATAAAACGGTTATCACTAATTAATGCAATGAATAAAGGAAATAACTTTTCCATTTAACATTAATTCACTAAGCAGTTGCTAAGGAGTTTCTATTCACACAGATATATCAAAGATGTGTATCTCGTATAGAATCAAAATCAAAGTTTGATGGATTTTTTTTATTGTTTTTAATAGAGAAAAAATCCATTAGGAAACTAGCACCTTATTTATATGATACATACTGTATAACTTGCCACTTTTGTGACATAGTTTCTACAAAAATCCCAAACGACTAGTCAAGCTCTCATTAATTTTTTAAATTGTTTTTACTTCTTATGTACGCAGCTGAATAATACAGTAGAGCAGAAAAAAAATATTGTAACATATTACCCTTGACATACCTAGTCTGCAATAATATTTTACTAGGTGGGTTTAGTGCACCCTTCCTTGATTATCACCAGCAAGTGATCCAATATAACTTCACACTGTTGTATACATAATGTCAGTTGCTGATAATGAAGATAGTTTTTGCAGGAATGATGAGTTTGTTGCAAATTGTACTGTTTTAAATTTAATGTTTAAGACAAAAAAGTCATAAATTTATTGGCAAATAGCTTACTTGTACCATATGATAAATAAAATCTGCATATTCTAATTTTAATGAATCTATTATTTTTAATTTTAAAGGAAGTTGTTCATTGAGAGGTGGCCATATACTTCTGCCAAGGTGAAAATACCGACGATATTACTAATATATGCCCATGATTCAGTTTCTAGAAATAAAAACATCAAGTACACATTTACTCATTTATCTTCCTACTTTTTTCTATAAAGTGTTGTTTTGTGCCCCAAATACCCCTTTCACCTCCAGAATTTCTGCCTCAAAAAAACTGTAGCACCATACGGTGCAAAGAAAATTGAGAACAGAGTCAGGAAAATCATAGAACTGTGAAAAACAACTTTGTAACTCAGAAGATGGCTTCTGGAGCTGGATAACCTGGAAAGAAATTCTGGATCTTCCATGGAATGCATGTATGACCCTGGGCATGATACATAACCCATGTATGCTTCTCCTTTAGTTTCTTCATCTGTATAATGAATATTCCCATAGGTGGATTATGGATACTACATCAGTTAATATATGCAAAGTGCATAGAACAGTCCCAGGCCCACAATAAGCCTCCATAGAAGTATGTTAATATCATCCTGTCTGTGCAACTCAGGTTTCTTTAATGAAAAATGGTTAGAGGTCTTTTTAACCTTTAAAACATCAAGACTTGGCTTGGAGCGGTGTCTCACGCCTGTAATGCCAGCAATTTGGGTAGCGGTGGCGGGAGAATTGCCTGAGCTCAGGAGTTCGTGACCAGCCTGCACAACACTGTGAAACCCTGTCTCTACTAAAATACAAAAAATTAGCCGGGCATGGTGGCAGGTGCCTGTAGTCCCAGCTACTGAGCAGGCTGATGCAGGAGAATTGTTTGAACCCAGGAGGAGGAGGTTGCAGTGAGCTGAGATCATGCCACTGCACTCCAGCCTCAGCAACAGAGCGAGACTCTGTATTAAAAAAAATAAATAAAAACTAAGACTTTTGGTCAAAAGAGTTAGATATGTCTGCCTTAGAAAAAAAATCACTGATTTTTTTCATAGCTAAACAAATGACAATAAGCATAATATGGACTACAGTGCTTCTTAACCTTGGATTACAATAGAATTCAAAGTTATATTAAAAATGTTAATATCTGTGCTCATGCCAGATAAATTATATGAGAATCTAGGGGTGGGGCTGGAGTCTGACCATAATATTAAGGCTACTAAAGACTACTCATGTGCTGATCTAAAAGGATATGGAATTTTTTGTTTGTTCTACTTTACATTTTAATATCTACTATTGCATTTTGTTGAGAGATAAAAATACGTTTATATAAAATGCTACGATGTTGATAAATTGACAATAAATAAAATTAAATAATTATAAGCAACAGCAACAAAAACAATTTTTTCTCACTATCCAGTGAGGTATCTATTTTCTCAGTCTTCTGTAAACTTCTCCCAGAAATTCCGAGGTCATTATTTACCTATTAACATTCACTAAGATTCTTTTACTTGGCTTTATCACTATCAATCATCGAAATTATTTCTTTATAATCGAATTCATAGATCAAACTTTTGTTTTTACTATTATTAAATTAATCATTTATCAGTATATTTGTGTTTTAGTTCAACATTTCTTTTTTTTTTTTTTTTTGAGACGGAGTCTCGCTCTTTCACCCAGGCGGGACTGCAGTGGCGCTATCTCGGCTCACTGAAAGCTCTGCCTCCCGGATTCACGCTGTTCTCCTGCCTCAGCCTCCCAGGTAGCTGGGACTACAGGCGCCCACCACTGCGCCCAGCTAATTTTTTGTATTTTTAGTAGAGATGGGGTTTCACCATGTTAGCCAGGATGGTCTCGATCTCCTGACCTCGTGATCCGCCTGTCTCGGCCTCCCAAAATGCTGGGATTACAGGCGTGAGCCACTGCACCCGGCCAACATTTCTTTTTATTATTATTATTATACTTTAAGTTTTAGGGTACATGTGCACAACGTGCAGGTTTGTTACATATGTATACATGTGCCATGTTGGTGTGCTGTACCCATTAACTCGCCATTTAACATGAGGTATATCTCCTAATGCAGTCCCTCCCGCCTCCCCCCACCCCACAACAGGCCCCAGTGTGTGATGTTCCCCTTCCTGTGTCCATGTGTTCTCATTGTTCAATTCCCACCTATGAGTGAGAACATGCGGTGTTTGCTTTTTTGTCCTCGAGATAGTTTGCTAAGAATGATGATTTCCAGCCTCATCCATGGCCCTACAAAAGACATGAACTCATCATTTTTTATGGCTGCATAGTGTTCCGTGGTGTATATGTGCCACATTTTCTTATTCCAGTCTATCATTGTTGGACATTTGGGTTGGTTCCAAGTTTTTGCTATTGTGAATAGTGCCACAATAAACATACGTGTGCATGTGTCTTTATAGCAGCATGATTTATAAACCTTTGGGTATATACCCAGTACTGGGATGGCTGGGTCAAATGGTATTTCTAGTTATAGATCCCTGAGGAATCGCCACACTGACTTTCCACAATGGTTGCACTAGTTTACAGTCCCACCAACAGTGTAAAAGTGTTCCTATTTCTCCACATCCTCTCCAGCACCTGTTGTTTCCTGACTTTTTAATGATTGCCATTCTAACTGGTGTGAGATGGTATCTCATTGTGGTTTTGATTTGCATTTCTCTGATGGCCAGTGATGATGAGCATTTTTTCATATGTCTTTTGGCTGCATAAATGTCTTCTTTCGAGAAGTGTCTGTTCATATCCTTTGCCCACTTGTTGATGGGGTTGTTTGTTCAACATTTCAAACAACCTCATTGAAATTGTGACCGGAAATCCCTGGCATTGCCAATTTAATATTTTCAACACTGAATTATCTTCCCTTCACAAAAGACTAAAAAAGTCTAGATTTCTCCGTTTCTAGTAGCAGTATACTGTTCCTTCAAAGTAGAATGTGAGGTTTATCTTTTAATCACCCTCCTCCCTCATGTTTCTTAAACTTCCAAATTAAACAAGTTACAAAATATGTAATATTTTATTTACTAACTGATTTGTTTATTCATTTTTTATTCATTATGTCTATGCTGCCCTATTTGTATACTCTGGGAATTTTGGAAATTGACCATGGAACTCACTTACTGAAACATGTCCAGTGATTCTTTGTTTACCTAAAGCTAAATTAGTCAATAGTGACATTCAAATAGTTTCCCTCTACAAGCAGCATGATGACTAAGCTAATTGCCCAAAGAATCTATTTATAAGCCTTTCAGCACCTTAAAAATTTCTTTAATTCAACTAAAAATACAGCTGAATGTAATCATATCCTTAAGTGACAGGTTTTTTTTTCAATTTTATATTAAAATATATCTGAGGGCTGGGATTAAATTTTATTCAACTTTGTATTCTCTCAAAGGCCTTAGTAAGAATAAGATTTAATTTATTCAGCAAAATATATTGAATTTATATTAGTACATAATGCCTGTGGAATCTAAAATAGGCAAAATAAAGTTGCTAAATCAATTTTAAAATTTCTCAGGGGAAAATACAACTCATAACATTTCAAGATGTGATACTCATGCTTAAAATATCATTGCTGCATTCCAATTTGTAAACTAAATAAAGCCTATTCTGTGTAAGCATGAAGAGGACAACTTGTAAGTAATAGAATTAGAATGGATTTGTGGTTTAGCGTTCTTTCCAGCATAACACAGTTGGCCCCATTTCCCAACCCCTTTGTCATGTGAACTAATTTTACTAATCAGGCTGTAGAAGTACAGCATAGCCAAGGAAGATTTTGTTGAAATAGTGTTTTAAATACCACCTTGATTTAGTCCACGCCGCCGTAGCATTTACACTTCCTTAGTCTATTCTAACTCAAGAAATGGTATGCATTTTTTAAAACAAAACTTTCTGTTTATAAAGAGAAACTATAGTCTGAAATCTGCCTCAAAATGTTTTGTGTTATGCAGAGTAGGAAATAATTAAAAAGAGAACGTCCTCCAATGGGAATTTTATTCATTCATTTGAAAGTACTTAGCACAAAGTTTGGAGCAGCAATGCCACTGGCCTCCCCTTCCACTCATTGCCCAGCACATGTGTTAAGTAATGATTTTTATGCATAAGTCTTCCTATCCTGCTTAGGCTGATTCAAAATATTAAGAGGCTTTACACTTTTTCTGTCTTGGCAATATCTCTGCAGCAATTCTGGATCATGACCCGGACTGTTGAAAACCATAAAAATAAAAAATATATATAGATAACCATTTCATTTTATACAGTTTTGTGGAGGAGCAGGTGGCTGATAAAAAGCCCCACTCCTTAGTGTTGAGGCAAAAACAGCAGTTGATGAGCAAAGAGCACCCTTTCCTGTGGAGTTTAAATTAAACTCGGATTTGTTTCAGCAGGGCCTTAATAGAAGCTCTATGATTGGGATGCTTTGGCTTAGCTGATATCTCCATATGCTTTTGCTATGTCGAAGCCCATTTAATCATTTCGTACACTCAAATAGATAGTATTAGTGATAACCAACTGCTATATGTATTAAATGTATGATCATTATTTGTGACCTTGTGCCACAGTTCTTATATATGCAAGTTGTAAGAAAAGCATATTAATATTGCTGTCATCCCCTTTTGTATTTATGGCCAGTATTTACTCTTCACTATTTTACTTTTCCAATCACAACTGCCAATCCTATTGCTCCATATCAAGCTAAATTTACACTCCCTGAAGAATCTCCTTCTGTCTGTAATCAAGAAAACTCAGCCTCTGGAAGACCTGCCATTGTGAAAAGGATTTAGCAGCCACTACTAGCACAGTGGTGCATTACTGGTAGGAACATTAATAAATGTTTCTTTGAGTTGCCATAGAAGGATAGAAGAAAAGGTAGAGGAGGATAAAAATTAGGCAGATAAGAAATTAGAATTGTTGGTCTTTTGACACTTAAAAGCGTAAATGTATTAATACGCAGTGATGTTTGTATCTGTTAAGTAAAAATCAATTTTCTACAAAATATAATATATAAAATATAGTCTCAGCTATTTTTGTGTTTATGTGTTTTTATGGCGATCTGAATAGATAGATAAACACAAAAGTGATAAGGCAGTTTATCAATGGTTGTAGGGAATTACTGATATTGATTGTTTTTCTAAATTAAGACTCATTTTCTAATCACAATTTAACCAATTTTTTAAAAAAAGAAAAAAATTATGAAAAAAGGAAAATAAGGAATATCCTTAACAATAAGAAAGTGTCCTGGATAAATGTGGCATAATTTGCTAAAGAATTCAACAGCTTCGAATTTTCTGAAAGAACCAAGCCTCATCTAACTGTGTTCATTGTAAAAATATAGTGATTATTAGCCAAATTAAGAGTTCTCAAATTTGAAGAAAACTTGTCCTCATGGTGTAAATGGGGCACAATGCCCCTTCTATTTTGAGTAATGGAAAATAAACAATGTCAAGAAAATGGTACCTAAGAAAATAATACCCAGTTATCATGTCAAAACTAAGTAGTCTGGAAGTACTTTGAAAACCAGAAATAGATCAATGAGTATAGTCAAGCTAGACCCACAAGTAGATTGTTTTCCTAGTGTCTTTTCCAGTCTTCCTAGTGCCCAGTATCAAACAACTGATATATGTGGACTGATGGCAGAATATTTGCATTCAATTCTTATCAAACATAATGTATGCTTATCAGTTTCCCTATAAGGAGAGCTCAATTCACATACATTAGGTTAGAAGAAAGAAGAGTCTTCCAAGTGGTAGAGTTGATCATTTTAAAAGTAGTCAAGCAAGTAATCCTCCTAAGAGTAAAAGTATTCATTCCACCAAACTGGGATGGTGGGGTGGGGGTGGCTGGGGGGAAAGAAAATTAAAGAGTATTCTGTAAGGAATACATTATTTCTAGTGATAACTATTTTCTTAAATATGGAGGGAAAGACAACCAGACATGAAATAATCGTTCTTTGTGAAAATAGAATAATAGGAAGGATTAGGTAGAATTTTAGTGAATGATCTTTTCTTAGTGCGTCCTTCTATCTAATATACTTCTCTCTTGATTCATATGGTAGTGATAGATTTCTATGAACAATGCCTTTGAGCAGGGTGTAAATAACCTTAAGCTGATTTTCTGAATACATCTCCAAATTGATAACAAAAACCACAATCTTTGAAGCCAAGTTGTTTGCAAAACCTGAGCATTTTGAGATACATACATGCATACACATAATTATCTTAAAAAATTACCCACTTCTATCAAAATGTAATCATTGGTAAAGCCTTTTATTTGTTTTCTATTACTATCGTAACAAATCGCCACAAACTTAGTAGCTTAAAAACAGCACAAATGTATGAATATTTGGGGCATCTTACAGTTCTGGAGGTTAGAAGTCTGGATGGGTCTTACTGGGCTAAAATCAAGGTGTCACCGGGCTGTTTTCTTCCTGGAAGCCCTATGAGATGGTCTGTTTTCTTGCCTTTTCTAGCTTCTAGAGGCTGCCTACCTTCCTTAGCTTGCATTTGGATTTGAAGCACGTCTATCCCTGGTGCAACCGTTTGTAATAGTGTTTCAGGGTTTGGTTCACCTTCTGTTTCAGAATTAATCAAGTTTATTTCATTACCTTTAATTTTCCATTCTTCGCAGCTTTTTTATTTTTATTCTTGCCTCTGTTATGAATATTTTATAGCTAAATGATAAACTTAAGTGAAAGAAAGACTATTTCACACCTACACTGCTGAAAATTAAACAGGCATTCTTTGCACACATTTTAACATCTTTAGTGTGTGGCCTTGCACCTTTAGTTTCCTATGAAAATCTCCTTTTATGAACTATAAGTAGTTATGATTACATAAACTAAAGTCAGAACATTTTAAATGGCTCAAAGCAACAGCAGGGCAAACCAATTTACATTTTGAAATATGTATATTATATATATGTACATGCATACAAATATACATTCACATGTATACACTTAAATTATAATGGTATTTAAAAACATGATGGTTTAAGTGAAAGGATAATGTCTATTCTTTATGAATTAAATATAATTATGTATGATAGCAGAAATGTGAAAATGTCTATAATAGAAGTTGTTGACATTTACATAATGAACGTATACAAAAATGGATTTGAAAGCCATAGAAATAAAATAGTCATAAAATTATTTTCATAATGTACATAATGAAGTATTTTCAAGAGATTATTCCTCTGCGTCTGTCTTAAACTTGGGTAAATAACGGAATGGTGTTTAAGCAAATATCGCTCTCTTTATGGATTGTTACTCAGAGTGAATGTTTGAGTGTATGGATACTCCATTCTCCATGATGTGCTTATTTCACATTGTATGCCTGTATCAAAACATCTCATGTACCCCATAAATATATACACATACTATGTACCCACAAAAATTTAAAAAATAATTTAAAAAAATTAAAAATAGATAATGATGATATTTCTGAAGCTAACTTAAGACTGTAAGTCTGCCTCAACTAATCATATTATTTTATATTATCTGGAAACTATTAATATATCTAGTTTAGAACCTAGTCCCTTTTGTCTCACATGATCAATGATTGAAAAGGAATCTTTGAAAATATATAAATATTGAGTAATTTAGTAATTAACAGGTAATTTTTATACACAAGTATATTTGTTATGGGCAAGAGAAGCATAAGTCCTAGTATACATTGAAGGATTTATATTCTTATAAGAATATAAAATAATATAAATATAAAAAGAATATTAGAAAAATGATTTAAATATATCCTTCTTCTATTCCTTTTCTTATATTTTATCTTTCTTGTTTTATATTTTATCAAGCTTCTCTCAATTTTCATAAATCCAAAGCCATCACATTTTACCTGGTTCAGCTGTATTATTTCTTCTAACTAAATTCCTTTAATAGGATGAGTTTGCTTGGGAATGCAGAAGTCTGATTATGCATAGTGAAGCTGCCACTTTGACTACTACGAAGAATTCACCTGTGTACCCTGCCACACTTATTTTATTTTAAGCAAATTAGATCAGTTGTGTCAAAAGCACTTGATAGGTTAAGTCAGGTGAAAACTGAGACTTCATCATTGGAAGTTAGTACTAATAGTAAAATAAAATTTTCAGTAGCAACAGATGTGGCAAAGGCCTGATTGGATTGGTTTGAGTAAAAACAGAAAGTGAACAACAAGAAATAGTGTGGATAGAAACTTCTTTAAGATTATTTTTCTAAAAAGGGAGAAGAAAGTGGGGTTTAGCAGAAGACGGAATATATGTTTAGGGTAAGTTTTGTGTGTCAGCTTGTTAATTTATATAAACTCTGGAAACAACAACTTTTTGTAAGATTATGGACTGATCCAATAAAGTATGAGTACCAAAACTAATAAAAATGGCGTTGTTGAAAAGATGAGAGGGTCTGGGTTTCATGCACATAAGAAAAGACTGAATTTAGTGCATCCAAGAGGAAAAAAAAATATATAGGAAATGGTTGTGATAAGGAAGTTTTATAGGATCTCTTTTTGTGGCTTTTGTTTTGCAAGTGAGTTAGGAAAAAAGACAATCAGCTGAGAGTATGGAAAGAAAATTTTGGAGGGTTGGAAAGAGAAAAAGAATGAAATAGTTATCTAGGAGAGTGAGAGAAAAAATAGAATAAAAGCAGGTTGTAGTTATCCTTGGCAGTCATCTGAGATCACGTAAGTTTATTAGTTATGAATTTGAAGGGAATCCTGTCTGCATTGTTGTGTCTTTTCCTTCAGCTTAGTCCAGCTGAACTTAGGTTTCGAGGTCTATGTAGCAACAATGCAACTGGGGCTAAAAAAATGATTGTGAAAATGGACCCTGCATAGAACAGGAAGGGAGACTGATTTAGACTGGAGGTAGGAGGCCTGATCCCTAATTGGCTTTGAATTGTGAAAAATGCTTAGGAATTAGCTCTGCAAAGTGGGGGATATTCCAGGTTGATGGTTGTTGAGATGAAACAGATGAAGCGATTATGAACAATGAATTGGAAGGAAAGAAGGTTGTCAAATAACCATCTAAAGAGTCTGGCCTTAGGAGTCAATTAGAATTGAGGAGTTTTGGACCTAAGAGGCCAGGCGGTAGATGTGTCAACCTTAAGAACAACATAGAAAAATTATAGGATTTAGAGTGGAAAGAAAAAGCATGAACTGGCACTATAGCCCAGGCTGGAGTACAGTGGCGTGATCACAGCTCACTGCAACCTCCATCTCCTGGGTTCAAGTGATTCTCCTGTCTCAGCCTCCCTAGTTGCTAGCTGGGATTACAGGCACGTGCCATCACACCCGGCTACTTTTGGATTTTTGGTAGAGACGAAGTTTCACCATGTTGGTCGGACTGGTCTCTAACTCCTGACCTCAGGTGATCCACCTGCCTAGGCCCCCCAAAGAGTTGGGATTACAGGCATAAGCCACCACTTCAGGTCAAGTCTTTAATGAAAAAGAGATTGAGTAGCTGGCAGAAAATAGTTATAAACCAGGGGATTCTATAGTATTACAGTACAAACCTCTACATTACCACCTCATAGAGGGTGAGAAGAATGTCTAGAGATGGCATTAAGTCTTTTGTTTTTTCACTACATGCAATCAGTTGCTGCTTGTTTTCCTACTTCCTAAATATTTGGAACTCTCCCTCACTTTTGTTCTTTCATTTCATACTTCAAATTTAAGATTTGGTCCTATTTATTTTACTCCATAGTCACTGTAAAAACAACTATTTATTCCCTATCACTCCTTCTCTTTAGCAACTTTTTACTCTTCTTACTCCAAATAATTCTATTACTCCCTAATACATAAAGTGAAATATTCCAAGCTCCTTAATATATCTCATAAGACCCTTCATAATATGTCTTCAGCCTATATTTCCAGCTTGATTTCATGTAATTCCTTGCTTTGTACTTTAAACTTCTGCAATAATAGTTCTAATATTCTTCATTAGACCATATAGGCTTCTCTTGTAACACATTTGCTTATTGCTGCACTTGACGTACAGAAGGTCACATAATTATTTATTTTCTATCAATCTGTAAATTCTTTGAACGGAGATTATATATGTATATGACTAGCATACTACCTGGAATAGAATCACAGTCAAAACATGTTTATTTGATTAGATTGGATCTAGTTTAAATCAAATTACTATAATTAATATAGACATATAATTTATATAAATATATTGATATAAAGAAATACCTGAGACTGGGTAATTTAGAAAAAAAACAAAAAACACAAAAACAGGTTTCATTGGCTGATATGGTTTGGCTGTGTCCCAACACAAAGTCTCATCTTGATTTGTAATCCCCTTATATTAGGGTTCTAAAGCGGGACAGAGATAATATGATAGATAGATACCTATATAAAAAGGGGAATTTATTAAGTAGTATTAACTCAAACAATCACAAGAGCTGAGGAGCAAGGAAACCGGTCTGAGTCCCAAAGCTGAAGAACCTGGAGTTCGATGTTTGATCGCAGGAAGCATCCAGCACAGGAGAAAGATGTAGGCTGGAAGGCTAAGCCAGTCTAGGCTTTTCATGTTTTTCTGCCTGCTTTATATTCTCTGGCAGCTGATTAGATGGTGCCCACTCAGATTATGGGTGGTGATACTAAGGCCACTGCTGCTTCCTCAGGGAATGCAGGATTAATCTCCTCTGACAAAGGTGGAAAGGCTGATGGCAGCCTGGGTTGGGGAGGGGATGTTGCCACCACTGGGGATAAGGAGGCCGTTTCCTCTGGCAAAAAAGGCTAAACAGAATTTAGGAGCTTGGTGTCTTCAGCTTCATCAGGGACCTCCCACACATCCCCATCACAGATTACAGGGTCCCATTTTTTTCCCCAAGCAATGTTCTCTTTTTAACAGTAGCCACCTAGTGAGGCTGAGCATTCACCTGATATGGTTTGGCTGTGTCTCCACCCAAATCTCATCTTGAATTCCCATATGTTGTGGAAGGAACCTAGTGGGAGGTAATTGAATCATGGGGGCAAGTCTTTCCCAGGCTGTTCTTATCATAGTGAATTAGTTTCATGAGATCTGACTGCATCATAAGGGGGAGTTTCCCTGCCCAATCTTTCTCTTTGCCTGCTGCCATCCACGTAAGACATTACTTGCTCCTCCTTGCCTTCTGCCATGATTGTGAGGCTTCCCCAGCCATGTGGAACTGTAAGTCCAATTAAACCTCTTTCTATTGTAAATTGCCGAGTCTTGGGTATTGTGTTTTTATAAGCAGCATGAAAATGAACTAATACAGTGAATTGGTACCAGTAGAGTGTGGGACTGCTGAAAAGATACCTGAACACATGGAAGCAGCTTTGGAACTGGGTGACAGGCAGAGGTTGCAACAGCTTGGAGGGCTCAGAAGAAGACAGGAAAATGTGAGAAAGTTTGAAACTTCCTAGAAACTTGTTGAATTGCTTTGACCAAAATCCTGATAGTGATATGGACAATAAGGTCCAGGTTGAGGTGGTCTCAGGTGGAGATGAGGAACTTGTTGGTAACTAGAGCAAAGGTGACTCTTGTTACGTTTTAGCAAAGAGGCTGGCAGCATTTTGCCCCTGCCCTAGAGATTTGTGGAACTTACAAGTTGAGAGAGATGATTTAGGGTATCTGGAGGAAGAAATTTCTAAGCAGCAAATCATTGAAGAGGTGACTTGGGTGCTGTTAAAGGCATTCAACTTTATAAGGGAAGCAGAGCATAAAAGTTTGGACAATTTGCAGCCTGACAATGCGATAGAAAAGAAAAAGCCGTTTTCTGGGGAGAAATTCAAGCAGGCTATACAAATTTGCATGAGAAATAAGGAGCTGAATGTTGATCCCCAAGACAATGGGGAAAATGTCTCCAGGGCATGTCAGAGGTCTTCACAGCAGTCCCTCCCATCACAGTCCTGGAGACCTAGAAGGAAATGGTTTCCTGGGCCAGGCCCAGGGTCCCCATGCTGTGTATGGCCTAGGGACTTCATGCTCTGTGTCCCAGCAGTTCCAACTATGGCTGAAAGGGGGCAACGTAGAGCTCGAGCCATGGCTTCAGAGGGTGCAAATCTCAAGCCTTGGGAGCTTCCATGTGGTGTTGAGCCTGTGAGTGCATGAAGTCAAGAATTGAGGTTTGGTGACATCTGCTTAGATTTCAGAGGATGTATGGAAACTCCTGGATGTCCAGGTAGAAGTTTGTTTTCAGGGGTGGAGCTCTCATGGAGAACCTCTGCTAGGGCAGTGAAGAAGAGAAATGTGGGGTTGGAGCCCCCCCTCCAACAGAGTACCTACTGGGGCACCACCTAGTGGAGCTGTGAGAAGAAGGCCACCATCCTCCAGACCTCAGAATGGTAGATCCACCAACAGCTTGCACCATGCACCTGTAAAAGCCACAGACTCTCAATGCCCAGCCTGTGAAAGCAGCTGGGAGGGAGATTGTACACTGCAAAGCCACAGGGGTAGGGCTGCCCAAGACCAGGGGAACCCACTTCTTGCTTCAGCATGACTTGGATGTGGGACATGGTGTCAAAGGAGATTATCTGGGAGCTTTAAGATTTGACTGCCCCACTGGATTTCGAACTGCATGGGGCCTGTAGGCCTTTGTTGTGGCCAACTTCTCCTATTTGGAATGGCTATATTTACCCAATTCCTGTACCCCTACTGTATCTAGGAAGTAACTAACTTGGTTTTGATTTTCCAGGTTCATAGGCAGAAGGGACTTGGCTTATCTCAGATGAGACATTGGACTATGGACTTTTGAGTAATTGCTGAAATGAGTTAAGACTTTGGGGGGCTGTTGGGAAGGTATGATTAGTTTTGAAATGTGACGACATGAGATTCAGAGGGGCCAGGAGTGGAATGATATGGTTTGGCTGTTTCCCAACCCAAATCTCATCTCAAATTCTCACGTGTTGTGAGAGGAACCTGGTGGGAGGTAACTGAATCATGGGCCAGGTCTTTCCCGTGCTGTTCTCATGATAGCAAATAAGTCTCATGAGATCTGATAGTATTATGATACTATCAGGGGGAGTTTCCCTGCCCAATCTCTCTCTTTGCCTGCTGCCATCCACATAAGATGTTACTTGCTCCTTCTTGCCTTCTGCCATGATTGTGAGGCTTTGCCAGCCATGCGGAACTATAAGTCCAATTAAAGCTCTTTCTATTGTAAATTGCCCAGTCTGGGGCACGCTTTTATCAGTAGTGTGAAAACAAACTAATACAGGTGAGTCTGCTTTCCCCAGCCCACTGACTCAAATGTTAATCACTTCTGGCAACACCCTCACAAACATACCCAGGATCAATACTTTGCATCCTTCAATCTAATCAGGTTGACACTCAGTATGAACCATCATACTCCCTAATCCCCACGTGTCATCCTTTGGATCAAGGGTGGAGGTATTTGGATCATGGGTGTGGTTTCCCCCATGCTGTCCTCATGATAGTGAGTTTCAAGAGATCCGATGGTTTTATAAGCATCTGCCATTTCCGCTGCTTGCGCTCACTCAGTCCTGCTGCCCTGTGAAGAAGGTACCTACTTCTCCTTTGCCTTCTGCTATGATTGTAAGTTTCTTGAAGCCTCCCCAGCCATGCAGAACCATGAGTCAATTTAAAACCTCCTTCTTTTGTAAATTACCCAGTCTCAGGTATTTTTTCATAGCAGCATGAGAATGGGCCAATACATTGGCTCACAGTTCTGCAGGCTGTACTGGAAACATGGCTTCTAGTGAGGCCTTCGGAAGCTTCTACTTATGGCAGAAGGTGAAGTGGAAGCTTGCATGTCCCATGGTGAAAACAGGAGCAAGAAAGAGTGAGTCCGGGAAGAGGTGCCACACACACTTTCAAATTACCAGAAGTCCCGAGAACTCACTATTATGAAGACAGCACCAAGCCATGAGGAATCTGCCCCCATGATTCAAACACCTCCCACCAGACCCCACCTCCAGAACTGTGGGTTACAATTCAACATCAGACTTGGGCAGGAACAAATATCCTAGCTATATCAGTAGATATGAAGTCGTTTGTGAGAACGAAGGAGGAAGATAACAACTCCGTCTTCAGAACTGAGGTAGCCTGCAAGTAGCACTAATGTTTACAACCAGACCTTGAGGGATAGGTAGGATTTTAGTTGTTCTACGGTTAAAAAGAGAATATTCCAAAAATGAAAATCACCTGAACAAAGACATAGAGGTAAAGTAGGTGACATGGTGGCAGGACTATTTATGGTCTGTATTGCGGGAATATAGAGCCTAGAATTTCCCAGCAGTGTAGAGTAAGAGATACAGCTAGGTAAAATAAGAGCATGAGGATAGATTTAGAGACAATAACCATTAAGTTTGCATTTATTTATATATTTATGGATGAAGTTTAACTTATTTCTGGTAATTTTTTAAAAAGCTTCGGTGTGGTCAAACATTTCTAACTACAGTAATGGCATTATCAGATGTGTGTCTGTTTTTAAGCATGATCACAGGTAACCATGTGAAGTTTGCCATTAGATTTATTACCACAGATGGCAAAGCCTGTATTTTGGACCAGACAACTTTCATAAGTAATGTGATGGATACGTATATACCGAGAGATTTCTGACTAAATTTTCAGTCTTTTTTTCTTCCATGTGGTTGGTCAGATTGAATTTTAGCAACTGTAATGTGCCAATGAACCCTGGCATTTAAGTTAATAGGGTAAAAATGAAGACACAGCGTGCTCTCTGAATGGTTGTAACAGCTTGCTGGATCATCAATCATGAAGCAGCTCATGCTAGGAATAAACAACAAAGAAAAATACAAACAATAGTTGGTAAGAAAGGGGTGTCGCTGCATTTAAACAGGCATAGGAATATATTTGTAACATTAAAATGTCAGAAAATAGCGTATGTATACTCATAGAATATTTGAAAGGCTGTGTTATAAATGTTTGTATTCTAAGGGTGATAATATACAATATTTTAAAAAATTAATTTCCTAGCTCACCATTATTTTAATAAAATAAAAAGTAAGTTGAACATTTCTATAAAATTAAATTTAACAATTCCATTTATGTTCAAATGATTTCATTATTTTACGATGTCACTGGTATGTTGAGCAATATTTCTATGAGACTCTTGTTTCAAATTAAGTCTTGTTTCAGAAAGAAAATTACATGATCTTATTTAACAGAAATATACTTAGTAGAAATGCCTTTTCAAATCCTTTCTAATATTAAAAATAGTTTAAAATGTATTTCCTTTAGAGGATCCAAAATAATTATTTGTATTAATAAGAAGTTTAAAATATAGTTAGCTTTCTCAGTAGAGAAAGAATATTTTTTGTGCCATTAGGTTAAGTCCAGTTTCAAACTCTCACATCCTTAGGAAAATATTGTCTTATTTTTCTTAAATATTTATCTAACAGGGAACTAACCATTTTCAAAAGGAAATCATTCAAGTAAAATAAGAGGAATCTAAAACACACGTAACTTTAATTATCAAATAAGATACAGCACCTGAATTACATGTGAATATTGTAAGTAAATGATAATAATACCATAAGTTTTTCTTGTAATATTTCTCTACCAAGTCAAGAAATGTTCATTTGTTAATTTTTATTCATTCATTCATTTATTCATTCAACAAAACTTACCTCTGGGAAAATAGTAGGGATGTAACACACACAATGGTAAAGCAATTATAGGGGTTTCCACTATAAATATGAAAATAAGGTAAATATGCTTCATTTATATGATGGTGTTATTAGACTATGTTGGGGAAAATTCTGCCTTATCCATTACTGCAAACATATAGCAATGGTTGATGAATTAAAACAACACAGTGCTACATTTAAAAACGAGGATATCTGTGATTTAAAATTCAAAGCACTGAACAAGGCAGAAAGTATAGGCTGCTGAGGTCTGTCTTCCAAAAGCAGGTAGATATGGCAAGAAGTGTAGAACAATGGAAATTCAAAGTTATTTATATCAGTGGCAGACAGATAAAAAGAGCTTGATACAGAATACCTGCATCCAGAAATGGGAAGGGGTTCCCCTACTCAAGAACACATCTAAAGAAAAATTCAAGCTAAGGGCTATTTGAGCAATGACTTATTTGGAGCTACAAATGTGGACAAGAGTACAACACATTATATCCAAAATTTGGCAAATTTACTGATGGCTTGCTCATTGGATCTAATTTATTTTCAATATTCCCATCCCTCTAAGAAAAGGGAGATAGTTAAAGTCCTTCAATATATTTCAAAAGTGGTAACTCCACAGAAACTAAAAATAAGAAAATACGAAACTACTAGACAAATGTCAATGCAGAAAAGACAGGACAAAAAGGAGAGAAAATAAGTGTTCCACCCCTAGTAAAGCTGAAAATCAAAATTCATGAAGATTTTGAGGAAACAGATGACTAAATCTATTACCAAAACAGGAATTGAAATATAATTTTGACAAAAATAATAACGGATATAAGTGAAAATAAAACTTGAAATAAACATGGTTAGCTTACTAAAACAAAAACATGACAACTAAAATAAGCAAAAAAAATGGAATCAAACACCACCACAAATTTCCAAGATGTTATAAAACAATGATAGTAAGTAATAAAATAAATAAGAATGGATATAAAGACTATTGGACAGGCGTGGTGGCTCATGCTTGTAATCTCAGCACTTTGGGAGGCCGAGGTGGGCAGATCACCTGAGGTCAGGAGTTTGAGACCAGCCTGACCAACATGGTGAAGCCCCATCTCTACTAAAAATAAAACAATTTACTGAGCACAGTGGCGCACACCTGTAATCCTTGGGATTTAAGTTGAACTATATTTCTATGCCATCAACAATATTTGTTTCCATTTTTTGACTCCATATTTTTGAACTGTTATTTTGAATGTCTATATTTGAATAGTGAATGAGATTGAGATTCTCTCTCTTTATCTGTATTTATTTGGAGCCTAATTAGCTTAGGACAATCAGGGATAAATCTGTAGTTTAAGAAAGCCAGGGATGATGACTTATACCAGGGAAATCACAGTCTAAAGCCACCATGGACATCTCACGAAAAACTGGAAAACATAAAGTAATTATGAGACTTTGGAGAAAGTTTGAATTTATGTAAAATTTAAATGAAGTGTTTTGATTGGCTCAAATCAAAGTAGGGCTGTTTGTAAAGAGGCTTTACAAACTTGGGAGGCTGAGGCAGGAGAAACTCTTGAACCCGGGAGGCTGAGATTGCAGTGAGCCGAAATCATGCCATCGCATTCCAGCCTGGGTTACAGAGCGAGACTCTGCCTAAAAACAACAACAACAACAAACTATCAATTACTTATCATGAAAATGAAAATGAGTCACTGAAAAACGAAAATAATATATCTGTATGTGTGTGTGTATATATGTGTGCGTTTATGTATTCTTTTTGTTTTTCAGTGATTGTTCTTCATTTTAATCATATTTATATATTTATATATATATTTCACTCTGTTTATGTATATGTTTGTGCATAACTAAAATTCAGTTGCTAACAATGGGTAGGGGGGGTAGAGGAGATTAGGATTAGGAGATATTAGCAATGTCTGTAACATTATGTTCCTTAAAGAAAAGCAAATATGAAGCATAATTAGCAAAATGACAATACTTTTTGAAGCGTGTTAGTAGGACCACAGGTGGTTTTATTTTATTAGATTATCTTCTACACATATCTATATTCTTGAAACTATAACATTGAAAACAAAAAATAGAAAGCACGTTGTTAACAATGTGGATGATTACACTTTTCTAAAGTGGGACATCAATATAACTGAAGTTTTGCAGACAATTAAATATTTGGTATTAAAACAGGCAGGAACAGTAAAAGTATAAAATTATTATATGTGTGTTTATGTCTGTATGAAACTGTTAGTCTGTGAATTTATAATATCTCATTAGTTTATAATATAAATGTATTATTACCAATGTACGTATGTGTTGATATATAAATGTATGCATGTTTGTATACATGTATAAATACAAATATATATGAGAAGTGGAGAGAGAGACAGATAATCAGCTACAAATGGGAAAGCATAAATCTGCTCTTGCATTAATCAGGCTGGAATGACAGGTGAAGATAAAGCTAGCTACTGAGTTAACAAGTAACTTTTTTTTTTTGGCCAAGATCACTCTGCAACTTTAAAGAATCATAGCATACGTTTGAGTGACTATTTCTTTCTTATTTATAGCAAAATTTTGTTCTCTATTTCCAAAATGGAAAACTACCAGAAACTCTGTTGTTTAAAATTACATCAGTATAAATGCACTATCTTAGTCTTACCTGGCGGATCTACCTGGGGCTTTGACACAGAGAAGCTGTCTTGATTTCCAGTCCTGTTGGGGAACGTCAGATAAGGGGTTTATGAACACAGCATTTCACATTCATCATTAGTTTATAGTTTTCAAAGAAAGAGAAGTCTGGATTCCCCTTGCAGTCCCATGTTCACATTGACCCCTTTACAAACAGACCTACTTTGATTTGAGCCAATCAAAACACTTCAATTAAATTTTACATAAATTCAAACTTTCTCCAAAGTCTCATAATTACTTTATGTTTTCCAGTTTTTCGTGAGATGTCCGTGGTGGCTTTAGACTGTGATTTCCCTGGTATAAGTCATCATCCCTGGCTTTCTTAAACTACAGGTTTATCCCTGATTGTCCTAAGCTAATTAGGCCCCAGATAAATACAGAGATAGAGAGATAATCTCAATCTCATTCACTATTCAAATATAGACATTCTAAATAATAGTTCAAAAATATGGAGTTAAAAAATGGAAACAAATATTGTTGATGGCATAGAAATATAGTTCAACTTCAAAAATCTGACAGTGTAATACATCAAATTAATTGACATTAAAAAAATTACCTCAATACATGCTGAAAAGCACTTAATATAATTCAGTACACATTCATGGCATTAAAGACAGGTTCTTAGCAAACTGTGAATCAAAATGAACTTTATTAACATAACTAAGGCCATCTAATATATACAGAAACAATCACTAATAATAAAGATACTATGGAATAAATTCCTACTAAATTTAAGAGCAAGACATATTTCATGGTTTCTATGATGTATTGTCCTGAACAATGCAATTAAATAATAGAAAAGTAAATGTTAAAAACATAAATATAAAAAGGAGAATAAACTCTAATTTTTATATGAGAACTTTTAAAATGTTAGTATAAGATGGACAAGTGAACTTTTCAGGATACAAGATCAACATTTAAAATTTGATAATTTCTATTTACCAGCAATTCAAAATGTATCATCAACAAAATGTTTTATTCTCATTTTTATGTTAGTGGTTTGTTTTTTTTTTTTGAGTCGGGGCTTCACTCTTGTTCCCCAGGCTGGAGTGCAATGGCTCGATCTTGGCTCACTGCAACCTCCGCCTCCAGCGTTCAAGTGATTCTCCTGCCTCAGCCTCCTGAGTAGCTGGGATTACAGGTATCTGCCACCATGCCTGGCTAACTTTTTGTATTTTTAGTAGAGACGAGGTTTCACCATGTTGGCCAGACTGGTCTTGAACTCCTGACCTCAAGTGATCCACCCACCTGGGCCTCCCAAAGTGCTGGGATTACAGGCGTGAGCCACCGTGCCCGGCCTGGCCTTTGTTTGTGTTTTTAACATTTACTTTTCAATTGTCTCATTGCCTTGGTCATCACAATACATAATAGAAACCATGAAATACGGCTCCCATGTTTTCTTTTTAAAGGAACTCAAGAAGCCTATCCTAACTGTAACATAAAAGTAAATGGCTAAGAATAGGCAGGACAATTTGCAGAATAAAATACGGAAATGTCTCTGTCAAATTTCGAGACATGCTATTAGCTTAGTAATTCAAACTATGTTATTATGAAATAAACATAGAGAAATAGATCACAGATACAGAATAAAGAACCTAGAAGCAGACCTACACATTTAGAGGAATTCCGTCTGTGACAGAGATGATTTTACAAATCAGTAGAAAGAGAACAGTTTATCTAATAAATGGTTCTGAAACAATGGGTTATTAAGATAAAAGATGATATACTTCTGAGGCCTTTTAATATTTACCTGGTTTTGTTTAGAAATAAAATATTTCACTTTTGTGTTCATTTACGAACAACTTTCTTAAGCCTTATGATATAGTTTTAATTCATCTTTAATGAAGGAAGTACAGTGACTGGGACATCTGAAGTCTATATTTAATACCCAGAACCATTTTGAATTATTCTAAGTTTGGAATCATGCCTGTGTTTCAAGTTGCCAAGAGTCTGATCTCCAGATGGTGAGATCGTAGGACATTACATATTTTGCATTAGAATTTTAGAGTCTTTTACAGTAGCTCTTTATTAAATCAAGGAACTGTAACTTTTGCTCTCACAGAATATCGTAAACAATAATTTTTTCCAAAGAGTGACCTGAAGCCTAGGCAGGTATAATTATTTGCACTATTTGACTCAAGTGTGTGTGTGAGAGAGTAAATAGTTCTATTCTTCTGGATCTATTTCATTATTTTCCAAACTAAATTACACATACTATTTTTAAATGTTTGTACCTAAAATTTGCAAAGAAAAAAATAAGTGCGTCCTACACATTTTGTGAGGGTAGAAAAAAGGTAAAGTGGGTAAGGAAAGAAGACTGTCTTTTAAATTTAAGGTTAGAATTGCTGAAAATAGGGCTATGTCTTAAGGAATTGCAGGGTGGAGTGTCTGGATGCAGATCAGCAGCAATTCTGCCATCTGGAAGCTTTAATTCCCTGCAGCTAGACACTTTTAAAAAGCTGCTCATCTCTTAAGGTAAACTTAGCATTTCTGCTGTCCTGGCAACTATGTACTTGGTGCTCAGGCTGCCTCTGGCTATTAAGTTATTCTTGTCAGATTATCTCCTCCCCCAAACTGGAGCCCATGGAGTGAGGCTTGGGCTAGGTGCAGCATGCAGCAAACCTGCATCAAGGACAGATATAGCTGAACAACTCACTGGCTGCCTTTCCTGAAGATGTCGGGAGCAAGGTAGAAGTAGCGTCTTGGGGAAAAACCACAGTTATGCTCAGGAAAACCTTGCAATAAAGCTTTCATATACAAAGAACAGGGGAAAGGGGAGAGGGCAGAGGGACAGAGATTGAAAACCTAATTATCAAAGAAAGAAATTGAGACTGGGAAACAAAAACAAAAACAAAATTTAGTGCTTAAACACAAATTGTAGGGCAAAATCTTAAGCTTAACATCATAGCTTTAAGTGCCTTTAATAAAGTACCCATGGTGTCAGGCATGGAGAAAAAGTGAACTATTTATAAAGTAGAGGCATTGTCTGGACAATTTAATTCATTCCTCAAGATACTTGACTTGAAAAATATTTAAAGAGCCTCTTTCATTTATTTTATTTACAAAAAATGCTCTCTTTATAGACAGCTAGATAGATGTTGATATAGATATATAAAATGTATAGTCATCTCTAACCAGGGAATTGGTTACAGGACTCCTATGGATAACAAAATTTATGAATGTTCAAGTTTTTACGTAAACCTTAAATCATCTCTAGATTACTTGTAGCACTAAATACAATGTAAATGCTATGTAAATTTATTTTAAAACATTTGGTTTTTTATATTTTTTATTGTTGTTTGATATTTCATTTTTTATAAATATTTTTCATCTGTGGTTAAATTTGTGAGTGTAAAACCTGCAAATACAGAAAGCAGACTGTGTACATAAATGGATGATTACAATGGCAAACTCACTGTTTATTGATATAATGATATAATGAAATATATCAATTATAATGAAATAAACAACAGATAAGGAGATAATTTTACAAAGATGTTTTTATAAAAGCTTTGACTTGAAATAAAGCTGGTTCCTTTAGGGATTCACATGAGTAAATGCTTTCCAATTGTCAATAAGCAGTTATAATCTGGTTAAAAACAAAAGAATAACCACAATAAAGCATGAGAATCAAGGTACTTAAAAAATTGCTAGCTCTACCATAGAAAGTCACATATAATAAGTGTATATCACATTTATTTATATAATTAAGGACATAAAGAGTTTTGAACTATGGGGAAGTTTTATTTTTAGAAGACAGTGTTTTAAGTATTTTAATTAATCTGTTCCTTACATTCATCAGGATTATTAATTGCAAGCATCAGATATTTGTTTTGGCTAATTTAAACAGAAAGGGAATTCAGATAAAAATGTTGATAGCTTACACAAGTTATGGGGGATCTCTGGAATCAACTTCAGAGGCTATGTAGCCAAGGGTAACATCAAAAGTTAGTTATATCACATAATAAATGCACCAATGCTCCTTTGCTAATAATGTCCTTGTGTTAGTCCATTTCATTCTGTTATAATAGAATACCATATATTGGTTAATTTATTAAAAAATTATTTCTTACAGTTGTGTAGCATGAGAATTTCAACATAGGGACACCCAAATCTGATGAGATCCTTCTTTTTGCATCATTCCGTGGTACAAGGCTAAAGGATAAGAGAGCCAGAGAGCAAGAGGAAGCCGAACTTGCTTTTATAAAAAGCCCACTGCTGTGATGACTACACTCATGAGATAAAAACATAAATTCATTCATGAGGGCAGATCCCTCATGACGTATTCACCTCTTTTTAGGCCCCACCTCCCAACACTGTTGCATTGGGCATTAAGTTTTCAATGCTTGAATTTGGGGGGATACATTCAGACCATAGCTGTCATTTAGTACAGACGCTTCAATATGCATCTCTGATTCCACCAGCTCTGCACACTGAGAGCATTGCTCAAACCATTTCCAGTGCTGCCACCCGAATGTAGATGTAGCTGTCTTCCCTGGTGCAGACCTCAGGAGAACAGCTTCCTCACACTTACTAGTTTTTGTATTTCCAACTCCAAAAGGTGCAAGTGATTGAAGAGGTCTATGTCATATGCCAGCACCTTGACTGCTGGTGTACCTAAGATAACAAGTAACAAGCAATTACTTGGGAAACGGACTATACCTTATTACTTGTGGTAATTCATGCTCAATGGCTCTACAGCCTCTTAATTGTATACATGGATATGATTTAGAGTATACTTTTCTTTACAGGATGTATCAGTTTTATTCAAAAACACTCCTATCTTGTAAGAGTTTAATGTTCTCAAATTTGATACAATATTCTCAGAGATTGTTTACCTCCTAGTTCGAATTTTCTTGCTGGCCTTTTACATATTACTACTATGCTCAGGAATATTTTAACACATAGTTCAAGTATTCACAATGGATTTGTGCCATACACTTTTAATTAGAATGAATATATTTTATTGGAGCCAAACATTTCACTTTAGTTTGATGGAGAAATTTACAACCGTCAGTCAAGTCATTTACTAAAATATCATCTAATAGGCCAGACACTGCAGCCCAGCTATTCAGGAAGCTGAGACAGGTGGGGGAATTTCATGAGCCCCATAGTTCAAGTCCAGCCTAAGCAACATAGCAAGACCTCTGTATCAAAAACAAAACAAAACAAAACAAAACAAAAACCTGCTATGACTAGATAACTATGAAGCTTTGGAGTGATATAAACATTATTTTTGATTTATAACTTAAAAACAAAAACACAGTCAATTTCTCATTTCTGAGTTTGATCTCTTTCTCTTATTTGATTCCATTCCTAATATTTTTAGCCTGTGAAAAACAGCAGCATTATTCTAGCAAATATTAACATTTCTATCAAGTACATAGTCTCACTAAGTAAAAATTGGCTGATAGATATGAATTATTACAATGAAAAATTCATCGAAACGTGCTATTTGTCTTAATTGTATAGGTCAAAGAATGCTATGTGGATTCAATAAACGTATAAACCAAATACAGACAGATTAATGCCTTTATTTCTCAACATTCAGATAATTGAACATAGTATCCCACACATTTCTCTTAGACCCACACAGGTTTTTAATTCATTGTTATTATCAAAACAACAGTATCATTAGAACAAAGTTCAGGTAAATGGTTTAAAATTTTAATAAAAAATTAAGAGTATACCGTAATAGTGATTCTATACCTCATAGAATTTAGTCTGGGATTAACTGTCTACATAGACACTGGTAAGAGGAACCATTATTGTGGCCCTCACACTCTAGATAAACCTGTATATCACAAGCACATATATGAAATAAATACATTGAAGAAAATATAGATGACATTTAAATTCAGTGCTGCGCTCAAGGACATCATATATTGGAACATTCTCTGTCATTACCAACATGCAGATCCACATCCTCAAAGCCAAAGGTGATAATCCCAAAGCATGAAAGTCTGTGGATTCTGCTGCTACTGAACCTGGAATCAGACACTGCTTGTGAATGTGGAGGATCTGAATTACAGAAACAGTTAAAAGATAAATCCATTATCAAATAATTTTTTCTCAGTTTCAGGGATAAAAATAGATTATTGCAAAACAAAAACAAAAGCAAAAACAAACTGATGTAATTTTAAAATGAATGTTTTCAGCCACAGTTATTTCAAATATGTTTTATTCTAGTCCTCCCCACCTCCGTCAATAACTCCAAATATACACACACTAGTGCTGTTGTACCTGATTTTCTGTTCAATTTTTTTTTTCAATACAGTTGGTCCTCTGTATCCATGGGTTTTCAATCCATTGTCAACTGAATGCTCGAATGCAAAATTCAGGGATACTGAGGTTCAACTGTATCACTTCTCAGTTGAGATTAATGTCCATTTTCTTGCTTATTTTTGTGTTCCAGTTTGTCTGAAGGAATTGAGAATCTTTTGTACAAAGTGGCTGAGAAACATTTTGCCCTATTTTATAAATCACGTTATTCTGAAAATTGGATAGATAGATCTAGATAAAACATTCAAGATACATGGTCCCAATTCTTAACATAGCCATCTATAGAGACACTGAACATTAGAATTGTAAGTAAAGCCATTTCATTTTTATCAAGATATTTTTAAAGACTTGTAATTATGTTTTTATAAATTCACTTTTAAATATTCAATTTTAATTATTTAGATAAAAAAACTATGACTCAACTATAATGTATATTTTCCTTTCAATATTAATATAACATTTGAAGAAAAACATGTATAATAGTTTAATTTTTTTAATTTTAAATTTATTTTACATTCAATTTTTATATTTCAAACATAATTATGTCTTGATTTTGACTTTTTTAGGGAATTATTGTTAATAGTCATTTTGACTAAATAAATGCAAAAAATATATAAGTAATATTTTATAAATAATGCAGATTTTTATTTTATTACTTATCCAAGTAACAAAGATAAGCATACTGTTTTCCTCAGCTTGACTAAACTACAGACATGTTTCTTCCCATCTCTAGACCTTGCTCTCACCCTGACCATTACAATATGTAAATCCAAATAAAGTAATCTCAGAGGTCTCTTCCTTCTCTTTTCTTGAAGTATTTACTTTTAAAAACTTGCCATTATAAATTTTCTCTGCCCCTATGAGATGTAAAACTTTGTAAAAAGCCTCTGGCCAATTTTACAATCCAGGACTGTCTTTTTCAAGAATATGACAGCCATGCCTTTGAAATATAATTATGAAAGAAGATAGAACCCTTATCTCTTACTCTCTGTGAGTAGGAGCCTATCTTCTGTGGATACTTTTATCTTACTTATAAAACTATTTCCTACTATGACAGTATGAGAAAGTTTACTTTTAATAAACACACATGTCCTACAATCCCTCCCTATTCCCCATCCTAACTTAGCTCTTTAAAACTCTCCAGGCCTCTATTTCAGTGGAGTGGAATCTAGGTTGCAGTCTCCCTCTCCTAATGTATTAGCCTTGAATACATTCTTCCTTGCCTGTTTAACTTTGCCCCATGTAATTTTTGCTTTGACACAGGTATCAGCAGAATCAAAATAATTAAATATACTTATCTTTGATAAATTCATGTTTTAAGTCATAATACAACTGCATATTTTTAAATTTTGTATAATTAACATATTTACCAAGGCAGAAGGAATGTTTTAATAATTTGGTGCATTACTTATATTTTGAAATATGTGGACATATGGTATGAAGTCTTCCTCGGCTCTGCAAATACCAAAATGTGGTTGAATCCTAAAATCTCTATGAGCTCTTAAGTTAGCCTCTGGATGTCTTTATAACAATGGCCATTAGAAAAGAAAATATGTATATACACACACATATACATACACATATATGTACATATATATACATACATATATGTGTATATACACATACATGTGTATATATATACATATATATACATACATGTGTATATATATACATATATATACATACATGTGTATATATATACATATATATACATACATGTGTATATATATACATATATATACATACATGTGTATATATATACATATATATACATACATGTGTATATATATATACATATATATACATACACTTCTCTATATATATACATACACATAAATGTGTATGTACACATCATTGTACATACACATATACGTGATGTAATGATGTACACATCATTAAACCTTGATAAAGTTTAGAATTCACACTATTTGTATTCACAACACATGCAAAATAAAGTGAAAATCAATATACATATATACATATGTGTATATATATAGATATAGAAAGTCAATATACATATATACATATATGTGTATGTATATATATATGTAAGAACAATTTAAGATAAATATGACAAATTTATGTGCGGAAGTAAATTTTGTATAAAGATGGTGTGGGAAATGATACCTACTAATCTTGATTAAATTCTGATTTATCCAAGGGCCATGGATGGTTGTACAGACTTTTACAGCTGATGAGGAGACCTCTTATGACTGTTTCTCTTGTCTTCACGTAAAAACACCTTCAAAAATAAAGCATTTTGTTTTTTTCTAAAAACATAATAGTTTCAATTAAAAAAGGTATTCCTGAAAATACCATATTAACCAGTTTGAATAATTTGAATGGTGCCTTTTCCTAATAAGTCGTTATGTTCTTAACAACACTGAAATATTCTTCTGTCAAAGTCAATTCTCCTCATGTCCAACATCTACTAATATTATCAGTTTTGCTCTTAAAATGTATTACTATCACCCAAATATTCCATCTCCAAACATCTTTACATTTAAGGAAAATAAAAAAAAGGAAGGGGGTGTCATAGAATATTCAGGCAACTATCATAATGGAATGTGATATGTTATATAACAGAGAGAGTTACTAGTAGTTTCTTTCATATAAATTGCCTTTAAAAATTGCACGTAATCAACCAGGTGCAGTAGCTCAAAGCTATACTCACAGCTTTTTGGGAGACTGAGGGAGGATCACTTGAGGCCAGGAGTTTAAGACCAGCCTGGGCAACACAGTGAGATCCCCTTCTCTTCATAACATTTTTTTAAAGATAAAATTATTGATAATAATCATTGCTCAATATGCATTTTTAAACAAAATTGAAGCACATTAGTGTAGTTTACAAATGTAAGATATGAAATTGTACATATTTTGGACTTCATCTGGACTTCATCATTTCATATTTATAAACTATTAAAAGAGAAACCTGGAAATCAAGTTATCTTATATTGTTTTATGAAAAAAAGGACTCCATTCAAGCAGGTATTATTACTTATGTATCGTTTCCCTACGAAAATAGGTTTTACACTGTTATTTATTATACTTATTGAATATCGTTGTGTGTATGTGATATCGCACATTCGTATAGAGCCTTCTGGTCCATAAATAATTTATGAAGCTATATAACTTGTTGCATTTCAAATATTATCTATTTGGGTAATGTATTTTAGAGACAATGTTAATAGGAAAATGATGCATCATATAAACATTTCTTAAGTAACCATTTTAAAAATGATTTAGGAGCTCAAAACACTTTCCTAAAAGTTGTATTCCTGTAGGGTTCTAACATAATGTACCAGGTTAGAGACTTCAATGGCCTGAGTAAATCTTGGAAAATTTATCATTAAACATAAGAGGACTGATGACATTATAAAAACAGTATTAACCTTATCCAAGCCTTACACAGAGATAAATTTTTTGTAAAACCTTTTTTAAAAACAAATATGATTCCAGCAAGATTATAATAATATCTTCAACTTTCTCCTAATTTTATTCTCTTCCCATAAATCAGTCTCATGAAGTATCTCTTTGTCATAGTCCTGACTGGTCCACTGAAAAAGTGCAGAATAAATATATTTTTATCATGCATTATGATCAGCTAAATTTCATTTAGAATATGTGACCTCCCTATGTTTAATATAGCATCATTGCATCATTAAACCTCGATAAAGTTTAGAATTCACACTATTTGTATTCACAACATATGCAAAATAAAGTGAAAATCAATGCACATGTTACAGTTTAATAATCTTAAATAAAAACATATAATGACAAATATATGTATAGGAATATTAACCAATTTTGAAGAAAATTTTAAAATAGACAATAAATAGCTGATCTCATGTCCTGGTTGATCTATTTTGAAGGAAATATGTAAGAAGAGGAGACAAAATATAGTGTGAGAATTAAGCACACTTAATCCAGAATTTATGTAGGTTGTATGACTTCTCTCAATTTTTTCCCAAATCTGTAATATACAAATAATAATGATTTTGCTTTGGTAGGTTTTTTGTGAGAATAAAAAAAATAATACATGAAAAACACTAGGAAACAACATGGTGAGGCTATTATTAATATGTTATAGGTATTTAATAATGTTTTAGTGTTAACAAAAGCATGACAGGTAATATAAAATAGAAAACAATTACATAATAGTGTCTATTATTTATAGTATCCTTTCTTGGATTAATACTAATTATTGTCTTTGAGCTCAAAATGAAGAAATGAAAATTTTTATTCCATATGTTTTTAATGGTGATGTTTTGATATAAGCTTTATATTTCATGGCATTTTGAATTGTTCTTCATTTCCTTTAAGTAAAGTTGAAAATAATTTAATGTAAAATTCTTCCTAATGGTGCCTACTTGCAAAAAGGATTCCCCTTATTAGTAACGTAGGAACACATGCCACATCTGCACAACGAAAAGTGAGTTAAGGAAAACAGGAAATGTATATGACTTGCTGAAGCTGAAAGCCCCCTCAATTTCATGACCATTTGAGCATGAAAATTGCTTAAAAATATTTATCGTTTCAAGTGAATAGATTTCACTCAGGGATGCAAATTGAGGACCAGGGGAGGTTAAAACTTATGAAAGTTCATAATTTACAGACTCTGGGCTAGAATTGAAAAATATATTTTCTGTGAATATTTATTCTCTAATATATAATTCAATAAACAATCAAGGAATTTGGGAAAGGACATTAGAAAAAAACTAACCCCTAAATAACTACCTTACAGTCATGTTCATATTTACCATCTATCGAATTAATTATGCAAGTTTCATTCTTCATGTCACTGACACTTAAAATTTGTACACACATGTGTGCACATGCAAGCATACATATACTCATCATTAAATAATTACCATGTACGTAGCCAGAGTTAATAGTAATGAAATCGAATGGAGGAAAATTAACGGATGCGGGGAATATGAACTCAAAATATTTTGGATTTGTTCTCAAAATATGAAGTCAGTTATTGGGAAAAAGGTAATGGGCAGCCTCATTACCAGTGATAATTATCCAAAAGAATAGTGTCACTTGGCAGGGCGTGGTGGCTGACACCTGTAATCCCAGCACTTTGGGAGGCTGAGGCGAGCAGATCTCCCGAGGTCCGGAATTCGAGACCAGCCTGACCAACATGGAGAAACCCCGTCTCTACTAAAAACACAAAATTAGCCGGGCGTGGTGCACATCCCTGTAATCCCAGCTACTCAGAAGGCTGAAGCAGGAGAATCGCTTGAACCCAGGAGGTGGAATTTGCAGTGAGCCGAGATCACGCCATTGCACTCCAGCCTGGGCAACAAGAGCGAAACTCCATCAAAAAAAATTAATAATAATAATAATAATCATGTCTCCAATAAGCAAATTGAAAAGAATCCATAGCTCAAAAGGCAAATGTCTTGAGGACTATCTCATAGTCTTTTTCAAAAAAATATAAACAGAGATGGGAAAAGATGTGCATAAAAGGCTCATCTGAGGTAAACATGGCAGAACTTGTGTATCAAGTAATTTCCAAATTACAAAGATTATGATAGTGGTGGTAGTGAGGAGACTTTCAATAAGTTTCTTCTGGTTATTAACTTCTAATTAAGAGTTGACATTGATGTAACAAACAACTCTGTAGTGCTAGACGTGGAAGAAGTCCAGGCAATGGACTTTGCCTCCACTAATGAAACCATAGTGGGGAAAATCAAGAGTGGCACATGGAATTCATGGATATAATTCCTCAAATGATAAACAAAACATTTACTTTATGTTTCTTATGAAACTCTTAGGAAGCCAAGATCATTAATGACAAACCATATTGGTACATATCAAGACTATTTATATCTAACTGCAGAAAAGACAGTGTTTTCCTGTGATTAGATCAAGATACATGTTTATTTGGTGACATCTTTTGTATATAAAGAGCCCTGCTAAATAAAGAGTAAAAGTAAAAGGGCCTTATTTTATTATATAATAATGACTCACTGCTTCTAGATTAGGGAATAAATGGAATCCAGAATTGTAAATTCCATGACAATAATGAAAGATATGAATGATTGACTCCTTTACATTTCAGTGATAAAGTTTCAAGAGTTATAGTTGTCTCAATTTCTGATCATATGTTACTGATCAAAAAGTTGTTAAAAGAATAAAAAATGTGAAGCGATCGCCTCCAAACCCATGGTGACCCAACAGTGACCTCTGCTATCTAATATTATCACTGCCAAATCTATTGACTTAGGAAGATAAACCCAATATATTGCACTAATCTTGATAAGTTGTATTTTCATTTTACTTAGTTCAAAATATTTTTTAAATTTCTCTTCAGATTTATTGTTCAAACCATGGGTTACTTAGAATTATGTTGTTTACTTTCCAGATATTTGGGGATTTTTCCAGCTGTTTTTCTGGTTTCCTATTCTATTTGATTCCTCTGTGATATGAGAAGATACTTTGTATAATTTCTATCCTACTAAATGTGTTACTTTGTGTTTTATGACAAAGAATATGGTCTTTTTTGATGAATGTTCCAACTCATCGATGATTCTTTGGATTTCTGCTGAATCGTTTGTAATGTCTCATGTTTCATCTCTAGTTTATTTGAACCTTCTCTCATTTTGTTCTTAGTCAGTTTTCTTTGTCTTTTACAAAAGTGACTTTTCCTTCTATTCATCTTTTGTGTTTTCTTTGATTCAATTTCATTTATTTCTGCTCTTCTGTCATTTCTTTTTCCTATAAATTTTGTGTTCGGTTTGCTGTTGTGTTTTTCTAGTCTTAATATACATCAGTAGGTTGTTTATTTGAAGTTTTCTACTTTTTTATTCCTTTATCTTTATGAATTATCTTCCTTAACCATTATTATGCAAAAATTACAAACATTCCTATAGACCAATAATAGACAAATAGAAAGCCAAATCATGAGTGAACTCCCATTCACAATTGCTACAAAGAGAATAAAATACCTAGGGATACAACTTACAAGGGATGTGAAGGACCTCTTCAAGGAAAACTACAAACCATGGCTCAAGGAAATAAGAGAGGACACAAACAAATGGAAAAACATTCCATGTTCATGGATAGGAAGAATCAATATCATGAAAACGGCCATACTGCTCAAAGTAATTTATAGATTCAATGCAATCCCCATCAAGCTACCATTGACTTTCTTCACAGAATTAGAAAAAAAAGTACTTAAAATTTCATATGGAATCAAAAAAGAGCCCATATAGCCAAGACAATCCTAAGCAAAAAGAACAAAGCTGGGGGCATCACACTACCTGACTTCAAACTATGCTAAAAGGCTACAGTAACCAAAAGAGCATGGTACTGGTACCAAAACAGATATATAGGCCAATGGAACAGAATAGAGGCCTCAGAGATAATACCACATATTTACAACCATCTGATATTTGACAAACCTGACAAAAACAAGCAGTGGGGAAAGGATTCCCTAATTTAACAAATGGTGTTGGGAAAACTGGCTATCCATATGCAGAAAACTGAAACTGGACGCCTTCCTTATACCTTACACAAAAATTAACTCAAGATGGATTAAAGACTTAAATGTAAGATCTAAAACCATAAAAATCCTGGAAGAAAACCTAGGCAATATCATTCAGGATATAGGCATGGGCAAAGACTTCATGAATAAAACACCAAGAGCAATGACAATAAAAGCCAAAATTGACAAATGGGATCTAATTAAACTAAAGAGCTTCTGCACAGCAAAAGAAACTATCACCAGAGTGAATAGGCAACCTACAGAATGGGAAAAAAATTTTGCAATCTATCCATCTGACAAAGAACTAATATCCAGAATTTAAAAGGAACTTAACAAATTTACAAGAAAATATGAACAACCCCATCAAAATATGGGCAAAGGATATGTACAGACATTTCTCAAAAGAAGACATTTATGCGGCCAGCAAACATAGGAAAAAAAGGTCATCATCTCTGGTCATTAGAGAAATACAAATCAAAACCGCAGTGAGATAGCATCTCATGCCAGTTAGAATGGCGATCATTAAAAAGCCAGGAAAAAACAGATGCTGGAGAGGATGTGGAGAAATAGGAATGCTTTTACACTGTTGGTGGGAGTGTAAATTAGTTCAGCCATTGTGGAAGACAGTGTGGCAATGCCTCAAGGATCTAGAACCAGAAATACCCTTTGACCCAGAAATCCTATTACTGGATATATACCCAAAGGATTATAAATGATTCCACTATAAAGACACATACACACATATGTTTATTGTGGCACTGTTTACAATAGCAAAGACTTGAAAACAACCCAAATGCCCATCAAAGATAGACCAGATAAAGAAAATGTAGCACATATAAACCATGGAATACTATTCAGCCATAAAAAAGGGTGAGTTCATGTCCTTTTCAGGGACATGGATGAAGCTGGAAACCATCATTCTCAGCAAACTAACACAGGAACAGAAAACCAAACACCGCATGTTCTCCCACATAAGTGGGAGTTGAACATTGAGAACACATGGACAAAGGGAGGGGAACACCACACACCGGGGCCTGTCAGGGGTTGGGGGGCTAGGAGAGGGATAACATTAAGAGAAATACTTAATGTAGATGATGTGTTGATGGGTGCAGCAAACCACCATGTCATGTGTATACCTATATAACAAGCCTTTATGTTCTGCACATGTATCCCAGAATTTAAAGTATATTAAAAAAATTAATTTACTGACCATTTCATTTGATTTTATGTTGTTTCTTTAATCAGTTTTGTTTCCTTATTAAATCTTTTGGTATTTACCATCAAATCTATAATGTAAATTTTGTACATTTTTAACAAATATAAGCCTACCTTCATATAACAATATCAATTTATGTGTAGTGCAGATGCCTTATAGCAGAGTGTGAGGGCTTATTTAATGGGTCAATTTGACTGGGCTAAGGGATGCTCCGATCGCTGGTAAAATGTTGTTTCTTGGTGTGTCTCTGATAGTATTTCCAGAAGAGATTGGTATTTGATTCAGTAGACTGAGTAAACATCACTCTCACCAATGTAGGTAGGCATTATCCCATTTTTTCAGGGCCTGAATAGAAAAAAAAAATCAAGGGTGAATTTTTTCTCTCTGCTTGAGCTGGCACATTCATTTTCTTTTACCGTTGGAAATCAGGACCTTCAGGTTCTCAGACCTTCAGACTCAGACTGGGACTCACACCATTAACTCCTCTGGTTCTCAAGCCTTTGGTCTTGGACTGAAACTATATCAACAACTTTCTTGGGCCTCCAGCTTGTGGACAGCATATCATGAGACTTCTCCATCTTGATAATACATGAGCCAATCCTTCATAATAAATCTATTTCTCTCTCTCTCCCTCTCTCTCTATGTATAGATAGATAGATAGATAGATAGATAGATAGATAGATAGATATGCATATTTTATGGTTTCCCCCATAGAGTACCTTCAGTGATACACAGAATATTCTTAATTTCCCCCATCTTTTGTGATACTGCTGTCATTCACTTCATTTTGCCATGTGGTATAATCATTCAGTACACATATTTTATTAGTAAATATTACTTTAAACATATTTTAGATCAATTACAAATAAAACCAATAAATTACATTATTTAACCCGCATTTTTTCTATCTCTGATGCTCTTCTTTTTAAATGTAGATCAAAATGACTGATTATACCGTTTTACTTCTGCTAGAACAGTGTTTGTTAGCATTTATTGCCAGGCAGGTCTGCTGGTAATTCATTCTCTCAGTTTAATTTGTCTAAGAAAGTCCTTATATCTCCTTCATTTTTAAAGAATAGTTTAGCTTGATATAGAATTCTAGATTGTGTTGTTTCTTCTTTCAAGACTTTAAAAAATTTATTCCACTCACTTTTGGCTTGCACGGCTTCTGACAACAATTGAGGTATAATATGTATGCTTCTTTATCATTAATTAAGTTGTTCTCACCCCTCTGAATTCTTTCAGGATTTTCTCTTTGACTTTATGTTTTTCAGGTTGACTATTATATGCCTAGATTTTTTTTGTTTGTGTGTGTTTGTGTATTTTTTCTTCTCATGTGCTCCACTCTGTTCTCTATTCTTTTTATATTTGAATTGTGCATATGTTACATCTTTTGAAATTGTCCTGCATTTCCTGAATGTTCTATTCTGGTACTTTTTTCTTTCTTTTTTCTTTTTTTCTTTTTTTATTTTTTGTATTTGCAATTCAGTTGGAGAAATTTTGGTTGAACTAAGCTCACCAATTATTTGTTTGACTGTGTTATGTCCAATAATGAGGCCATTGAAAGCCTTCTTCAATCACTTTACTGTGTTTTTCAATTCTTGCATTTCCTTATGATTTTTTCTTATAGATTCCATTTCTCGGCTTAAATTGCACATCTTGTCTTTTAATCTACTTTTTTCATTATAGTCCTTAACATGTTCATCATAGCTATTTTATATTCTTTGTCCGATAAGTCCAACATATGTCAGGTTCTGATCATTTCTATATTATAGATCGACTGTGTTTTCGCTGCTTTTTGTCATGTCCTGTATTTTTTTTTCTTAAAACCTGAACATGTTACATTAGGGACTAAGAACAAACATAAGGTAAAAAGGTCTTTAGCATGAAGATTTACCGTAACCTTAGTAGGAGTCAGGCTGTGTTTAATGTTTCCTATATGTAGTTATAAGGGCTTGAGCTTTCAAATTCCTCTAGTGTCCTTATTTTTGTCTCCTTTCTCCAATTTAGACTTTATTAATCAATTCTACTCGGCAAGAATCTGTGCTTTAGATCATATTTGGCTGGTATTAGACTGGAGCCCAGTTAGTGTGATGTTAAAGTGTGAAGGAAGGGAATATTCTTTCATCTTCTATTTAAATTTCAGTGTTTTATAAGCCTCTGTCTCTGAGCTATGACTGTCACAAATATTTCCTGAGTTGTAAAGCTTTGTTTCTCATGCCCATTAGCTCCATCCTTAGCTATAACATTCTCAATCTATTTCCTTTAATCCCAAACCTTTTTGACTATGTTTCTCCACTCCCTTAGATGAAATGACATAAATATATGTGACTGGATTGGAAGAATACACCTTCCCCCACTGGGATAAAGCTCTGTAAAATTATTTTTAACCTGCAGTACAAGCCTTTAAAAAAACACACACACACACAAGTTTTAGGTTTATTTTACAATCACTACTTTCCCCTTATCCCTGACAAAGACATGACATTTTTTGTCAGGTTGAAAAAATGTTAAGTGGAAAATGTTAAGGTTCTTGGAGGTAAAACTCACAAAAGTGAAAGTAACCCTGAAGAGCAGGTACCCCACAAATTTCTCACTCTCACACTAGTTTAAAATCAGCCTCCAATAATTCATCAAAACTACCATTTAAGTGCTCTCTGTACCTTCTGCTCCAGGTAAGCAGATCTTGATTATGTCCCTGTGAGACTTTGTGTCTCCAAATTTTGTAATGCTGGTTTACCTGACAACTTAAACATAATTGATTTTCAATTTATCTCCCTTTCTTGGTTGTAAGGATGGGAATGACAATGTCCAAGTTCTTCATCTGTCAGAGCTGAAGCTGGACATTATCTTTAAGTCCAGGTTTTTTTTCAGTTTCTTGGGCTTTGAAATAACATGTAACCAAATGCATTTTATATTCATTAAGACTTCCTACTTGTTCAATGTCAAAAAGTTCTGATACTATATAGATGATCATGTTACTAAAGTTAGACCCCGCCATTATTTAATGTGTAGCTCATTTGTCCACAGTAGAGTGTGATCCTCTTCTTTCCCAGCAGGGGACCCTGCATTTTTATTGAAGAAGAAGCTAGTCCACCTTGCCTTCATACTTTCATTTCATCTGTAAGTTAGTAATAAAAAATCATCTACTTCTTTTTAAGACGAATGTCTGTGTATAAAGGGTATTGTTGGAGCTCTAATTCAACTTATAAAAAAAACTGAATGTGACTCTTGAATTCTGCTTTTTTGAAAAAAATAAATATTTAATTTATCCACACCTTGAATTAATTGCTAGTGATTTTGTATGGAAACAGAAAGTTTAAAATTTAAAACATGGCATCTAAATTTAAAAACTACTTTGCAGTTATAAACACTCGACTGAATAATAATAATGGTAGTAACATTAATTTATTCATGAATAAATAATAAATATGAAAATTTACAATTTACTCCCACATAATAAAGAAAATAAAAATTTGATTTAAAAATATTATGAATACAGAAAACATACCTATTCAATTAAGAAAGAAGAGGCCAAGGAGCGGTGGCTCACGCCTGTAATCCCAGCACTTTGGGAGGCCGAGGTGGACAGATCATGAGGTCAAGAGATCGAGACCATCCTGGCTAACACGTTGAAACCCTGTCATTACTAAAAATCCAAAAATTAGCCAGGCGTGGTAGCACACACCTGTAGTCCCAGCTACTCGGGAGGCTGAGGCAGGAGAATCGCTTGAACCTGGGAGACAGAGCTTGCATTGAGCCGAGATTGCACCACTGCACTTTGGCCTGGGTGACAGAGTGATACTCTGACTCAAAATAAATAAATAAAATAATAAAATGAATAAAAATAAAAATAAAATATAAAAGACATTCTTATAAGAGAGAACAGAATACCAAGGAGATGAAAATTATTAGAAATATAAGAAAGCTTTTTGAGATAAAAATGATGAATATTTTTAAATTTATCAAGCTAATAGAGAAATACATTTCAGGCAAAATTATTGAAAAAAAAGGTATCTACTTTTATATATAGCCAAATTTAATGGTCAAGTTTTAGAATAAAAATACAATCACGGAAGAAAAATCCATTTTTATTTTATGTACAAAATAATAGGTATCCTACTTGCCCTTGTTCTTCTCTCCCAACATGCGAATAACAGACTAAAAGCAATGTTTACTGAGATTTAATAGAGAAAGTTTGGCATTAAGACATTTATATCTTTACTAGATATTAATTCATTTGTGAAGAAACAAAAAAAATTTGTAGATATTTCAATATGCAGAAAGAGGTGCCACAGAAACTTATGTAATCACTGATAGGTTCTTTCTGCCTACTGCACTGACAAGAATCAGCCCACTGACACCATGGTGTTGTAGTAAAGAAAGAATTTAATTCGAATTTTGTTTAATCAAAAGTAATTTTATCCATGGACTGAATCACAAGGGGCCAGATCCTTCTTTGAAATAAAAAAACCAAAAGACAGAGAAAGAAGGTAAGCTCTGTATGTATCTTGCCTATCAATCAACCAAACAGAGATCCCTGCCTTTTATTATTTTTGAGCAATTTTGTAGTTCTGTAAGTTGTAGATTGTTGATAGCAGTGCCAGTTGAATTGTTCTTTCACAAAGATACGCAAATTAATTATTTATATTGAAGGAAATATAATTCCGGACCCTCAACGTAGTTTTGCATTTATTTGTAAATTCATATCAGCAATCTTTACTTCCCACTCTCTAACCTGTCCCAACTCCTCTCCATGTCTGTGGGTGTAGATGTAAAACTGAATTATCTTTGGAATCCATTGTAACATCTTGCTGGCTTTCTAAACAATTATTAAATAAAATCATTGGCAAGTTTTTTTTTATTTGTATCAGAGCCATAATTATATTTTCATTAAAAATTTACTCTTTTAGAGTTTACTCCTAGGGAGATGTTTCCTATTGAAATAGTAGACAACCAAAGTTATGTATATTTAAAAAGTTTCCCATGAAGCATAGGAATACAAGTATTATATGAGAATAAAAATTATTTATCTTAAAGTACTAGAATTCAAAGGATATAGTATAAAATTGTGGAAAAAGTAAGGAATCTAAGTTCTTTAAACTGAGAAAAGCATTCTTTTATTTAAAAATTGGCTTTTTTATGAACATTAATTAACAATGTTAGTTAATATTATCAGTTGTAGAAAAAACTTCAATGTAGAAAACTCAAACTAACCTCACACAAATAATAAAAAATTTAAGTCAGGTCTTGACTTAAAAGTATGAGGAAAAAAATTTATAGATAAATTTGGGTCTTACAAAAGTTTTGTTTTAATTCTAAATTTTTAAATAGGTTTTCCTTGTATTTTTGGTCTTTTCATTCTGATTATACTGTTTCAATTAAGAATGTAAATGTGGGCAAAGTAATTTTTCCAAAACAAATCTTAAATAGAATTTTTAAATAAATAAATTTTTATATAAAACAAAAATTATATTCATTAAGCTTTAGAAACCTGTCAAACCCTCAATAAAATACTTGCTATGTAAGTTCAAACTACAGTTTATGATAAAATAACTCTATCTGGTTTGGCCAGATGTCTACCTTTGAAAAAAGAACAGCAAAGGAAATAATCTAAAAATTATGAAAAATTAAAATTAAAGAATATGGGTTAGAAGTAATGGTAGCATAGCAACAGAGAGATACTGCTCTTAGACACATTCTTAAGTCTTCAAGTACCATTTTATTCAGTAAGCTGATAATTATAAAATGCTTCATGTAGTGACAATCTGAAAGAATTAATTTTGGAAAAAGTAACATGTAGCTAAAATATCCTTGAAGTGTACTTAGTCATATGATTTTCAACTAAATTCAGCAAATTAAAATCATAATGAGCTCTAACTTCATCCTTATTAGAATAGCTATAATTATGAGTGTGTGTGTGTGTGTGTGTGTGTGTAAATTACACCAAATGCTGGCAAGGACTCACAACAAGACCTTAGTAGCAAAGAACATACATAGTACCTGGTCTTGATTTCTTCATACCACTCTTCAATAAAAGGACAAAATTTCCTTGGGAAAATGGCTTATTTTAGGGCCCTGAAGCACATTTTAGGGCCAAAAAGTGATAAATTGCTAAAAGAAATAACATGTAAGTAAAATATACAAGCAGCAGTTTGAGTGTCCCCAGTGATCAAAGCTGAAACAATTTAAGTAATAAAATACATAATAGTGTTGGATTCAAACCCTAAGAAAGAAAGAAATATTCATAAGTCCACAATGACATAAACGATTGAATAAATGTATACATTCAGGAGAAATAAAAAAATTCTTACAAATGAATTCCAAATAATAATCGTAGGAGGAATGAAGAAAATAAAAATTCACCACTAGAACTCCATAATAAAAGTTGCTGCGGGCAGGACCGACTGATAACTGTTAAGAAGAAATAGGATATTTGCATATTCTCAGACTCTCTCTATCAGCAAACTAATTAATTAATATGATAATTTTAGCACATGTCCACAAATTCTTTGATAATTCTTCCCTATGAAGATAGAAGTTAATTCTTATCTTCTTGAATGTAAACTGGATTTGGTGACTCACTGTTTATGAATAGATTGTGGAAAGGAAAACAATACTAACGAAAACAGTGAAAAAACTTGGCAGACACTACCTTAACCAAATGATCAAATTTAACGTTTCCAGTATTAATAGTGATATCATGTAACTTCTGATATGGGTCGCGAGAAGGGCACTTTACCTGTGTTACATTATTTTCCAAAATCTATATACCTAGTTCAATCTTGACAAAACATCAGGCAAACCCAAACTGAAAGACATTCTACAAGATATCTGATCAGTAATCTTCAGTTATAAAAGACAAGACTGAGAAATTCTCAAAAATTAGAAGATGACAAGTTAATGGGTGCAGCACACCAGCATGGCACATGTATACATATGTAACTAACCTGCACATTGTGCACATGTACCCTAAAACTTAAAGTATAATAATTAAAAAAAATCATTACCATTATTCATGAAATTAAAAAATCTTCCAAAAAAAAATTAGAGGACAATAAGAAGATATGATTAAATACAGTATTGTGTCCTAGATTGGATCACAGATATATCAAAGGATAACAGTGGGAAAACTGCTGAAATCTAAATGAAGTCCTAGTTTGTACCTTAACATTGTACCATTATTAATTTCTTGTATTGTTAAAGAATCCATGGTTATGCAAAATGTTAACCTCAGGAAAAACTGAGTGAAGTGAGTAGAGAAACTCTCTGTAATCTCTTTGCAACTCTTTAAACCAACCAAATGTTATTTCAAAATAAAAAGTTCAAATGTGAAAAGAAGTCTACTTACATCCTGACAAATTAAATAGGCCTTTTTCTTACATTTGCCTGTCACCCCTCTTTATAGCTAAATAGTGTTTTAGTAGTTAACTCTCACCATAAACATAAATGTTCTCTTAAATTACTTGGTTCAAAGGCATTTGTTTATAGAATGCATGATGTCTATATAGGGATAGATATTGTTCCCTACATATTTTTCTTGCCATTTTCCAGCATGTATAAACGTGAAGCCTGGAAAACATATCACCTGGGTAAGCAACATAACATACTTTCTTTCTGTGCATAAGAGAAAGCAATATCAAGTACAGAACGCTAATACTGGTTTACTTAAATGTGTGATACTTTAATGCATACTGTGAAATAACTTGTGTTACCTCAAAATTTCATTTATTATTCAGTATGGAAAGTGCAAATCTAGAATAAAACAATATGCATGTAATTTACATGAGGACATGCAGGTGTTAACAATACTTTTAAAGTAATTTCAGTAATGTCTACTAACTAAGTTAAAGAGATCTTTCATGGTGATTGGTGGGATTATGAACATTTCTTGTTCAACAGTTACACCTGACTATAACATAAACAGAAAAGCACTGGAGTGGCTTAACATTAGTTTTATTATCACCATATTGTTTAGCATATACTGAGAAGAAATGAAAAGGAACATTTCTATTTAATTTGTTAGAAAGTTTAATATTAATAATTGAGTATGTTTGCACAGTAGATGAAGATAAATCCTCTTTTAGGTAACGCATTTCCTATCTCTGATGTTCAATGTAGAATGAAAAACTAAATTATGTGCTCAAAAACACAGAACTCTTAAATGCACACGTTTCATCTCTGATCACTGTGATAAAATAATGAGGCCTTTATTTCCACTTAAATAACTTTAGGGAGAGGAAAAGGGATGAGAATATATTTGGTAAACATTAAGATGAATCATTAAAAGAAAAACACTTTAAAACAAAACAATAGCATATATATATATATATATATATATATATATATCCGATTTCCATCAGTTTGATGGGGTGTTGAGAGAGTTTTCTGAACAAGACAGAAAATCCTTTGGAATGGAGGCTGGTTAAGAAGTGTGGTTTGTTTACTAGTAATAAGGGCCTGAGAGAGAGAAGCAGGGAAAGACACATACGAACACCTGTGTGGATCAAGACTTAAATTCTTGTGGATTTAGTAATGGAAAAATCTCCAAGCAGCTACAAGAGACTTTGAATGTGATTAATTGTGGGACTTAGTGTGAAACTAGCATCTGTGGAAAACCTGGGCATGTTTCATATGTATGCTGCTTTCTTATAAACAATCCCTGTACTAAAATATTGGATTTTTGCAGGGGGAGTAATGTGAAATTTAATAAGCTGTATTTCTCAAATACTTTATTGTTTTACTGTGCTTTTTAAAAACTTACTGATTCAATCAAAACATTATTGCCTAATAGTCATGAACCACTGTGCTTATCACTGAGGATTCAATTGTGCCCAAAAGAGACATGATCTCAGCCACTGCAGAACTCACAGTCTAATTAACAACATAAATTAAAAAGAAATACAAATTAATTCTGTGTTTATAAAATTAATACAGTTTTTGAAAGAGACAAGCAGAAAATTAGGTCTACAACACTGAAGAGGTTGAGTTGGAAAGCCTTCTCTGTGAAGGTGTTAATTAAACTAAGACAAGAAAAGCAAAAAGAACTCATAATTCAAAAATTTCTCCAGACAGAGACAATAGCATGTTCAAAAGCCCCGTAGTAAAAGAGCCTAGAAATTGTCAGAAAGAAAAAAAAGACAATGCATATGAATTGTGGTAGGCAAGGGGAGAGAGCTGGAAAGGAATTCCACTAATAAATTCATTAATTAGTTATTTCATTCAATGAATAAATATTAATTTACTAGTAAAACAATTTTGGAAAAAAAAATGTGTGTAGCATGCACCTTTGAAAAACTTAGAATCAGTGAGAAAGAAAGAGTAACATTTCATCATGCAAACAAATATAAATGCATCTGATCCCAGGCAAGCACTATGAAGCTCTGGGCTTTACAATAAGAATATTGACCTAGTCAGGGGTGTTAAAGAAGATGAGTGCAGAAGTGAAATTTATCCTGAAATCTTAAAATGAATACAAGTTAGCTTGATTGAGAGAGAAGGAAAATATTTTCTAAATAAGAAATATAGCTATACAATTATCTTGTGACCGGAGGAAGTATAAGCTCAAGGAAGTTAAAAGAGGCCAATGTGGCTACAAAGAAAAGAGCAAAGGGAGCTTGTGTGACCAGGATGAAGAGAAAGGCTGTGGCTAGAGCATCATGGCTTGTAGCCCCTGCAAGAGTTGTATCCTGATCATAAGAACAAGGGGCCATCTTTAAACAGGAGAGATTCACATGCACTGATTAAAGTTCAATAAAATTCAGTACATAGTACAGAAAGGAGATAAGAGGGGTCCAGCCTGGCTGTTGTCAGAACTTTCGGGAGCTCTTGCAGCCTCACTTCTGCAAGAGGATGATGTACTGTGCTGGGGTTGCAACAGCGGACTTGGAGAAAGGTGGTAAGATTCAAGGTAAATAAATCTAAGGGTGGAATAGGTAGGCATAAAAGATGACATACATGATTCTAACACACATTGGTGAATGATAGTAGCATCCACTGAGATGACCAAGTACAGTGGCTGGCAGCATGTCTGAAAAGAGAAATTAAAAGTTCCATTTTGAGTTGCCTGTGAGAAATACAATTGGAAACATTTCAGCTCACTTATTCAGTTCATGTAAGTCTCTGGCTGAATGCCACCTCCTCAGAAAGTCCTTCCCTGATGACTATCTAAAATTACCCTCGTAAGCTAGTAGTTCTGTCACTCCAACTACTCTATGGCAGTTTCTGAATTAATGTTATAAATTTATTTCTGATTGTAATTTTCCTCCAGTGGAGGTTAAGCTACATGTGGGTAGAGAAATTGTATGACTTTTTAAATATTAAAGTACCTAGCAGAGTGATGGGTACATGGTAGGTAATAAATATGCCAGTGAATAGATGAATGTATGGATGAATAAAGGAATGACAAGAAAGAGCAATCAGACATATAAATCTACCACTCCTGTATAGAGCAATATCCTCTCCTATGAAGAAGTAGAAAAATAATTGACAGAACTGAACCACACAACAATGATTGCAATGTCTGGAGGTGCTTACACCAAAAGAGTAAACAAAGGAGATGCATGTTGTTACTACACCTACAGATTAATTTCTTATAAAAAGAAATACTGGTTTAGTCCTAATTGAAATAGCACCATTATTTCTAAAATGTGGGTGTATATTTTATGATATAGTAATATTTATGAGTTGATCTCAAATGACTTTCTTAAACCCCAGGTGGGAGTCAAATAACCCTCTTAAACTCCAGATGGTGGATTTCTATTTAGGGAGAGTATTATAAGGGAAATGTAATTCCTTATTTCTAAATAGGTGTCTTAAAATTGAAGACTACAATGTGATACAAATACAATCAATACTAATGTTTTACTGAATAAACAATAAAACAAATTTGGTACAGACATTTTGGGTCAAAATTCTGTCATTTCATTGTAAGAAAATTTATTTTATTAGTGGCAATAAAGTTAAAATAGGATAGCTATCTTCACAATGATAATTAAGGATTGGGTAGCTAAAGTAGTTTATTCATCTGTATTGTTGCACTACACACTATTGGCCAATTTTTTGCACTTATTTCCAGAAAACAAGAATTATAACAAGATGACATAAGTGCTATAACTGAATTTTCTATGACAAAAACATCAGAGAAAACAAGAAGAGATCACACTGACCCTACCTAGCAGACTACAAAAGTGTTAATGTGAGCAGAATATTGGGAAATCAATAGGAATCTACTAAAATGGAAGAGTGTAAAGAGAGAACAAAAGGGAACAGAAAAGAGCTTGTGAAAACTCAGGGAGACATAAAACACCGGACACACTCAGAATGTCTTCACATATTTACCACTGTATAGGTGTGTTTGGGGGAATGGTTGGTCATGTGTCTAAGTAAATGGGAAGGAACTGCTTAGTGAGGGACTGGCATAGTCTGCAAAGTACCACGGACTTTATGCTTTATGAGATGTAGTGCCATTTAAGGATTTTAAATGGCTTGACAGCATTTGTATTTTAGAAAGGTCACCTCTAATTTGATTTGAAGAAAGGTCTCTAGATGAACAAAGAAAGATACTGTTTAAACCTCTCTTTAAATATTACCATAGAAGCATTACCAACGGCAGAGGAAAGTAAATCATACCTGCGGGAACTGGTACGGGAATCCAAAAATCCCCACTGGTTGTGAAAAGAAATGGGGAGTTCAGCGCTTTAAAAAATAAATGTAGGTAAATATACCAATCTACTTTGTAAAAATTATATTTGTAATTATTCACTAATTATACCACTTCATTCTCATCTGTAAAAAATTATTCTGAGAAAAGTAGACTCAGAAAAAAATCTTAGTTCTCACTTGGCACCCCAGTCTGTAACCACTGGAGAAGAGAAAATTCAATTTAAAAAGCAGAGCGGCAAACATAATTTTACAGATAGAAGAGCTATGTTTAACAGAAAAGTTTTGTATGGCATATGCAAATAATTGAAACAAAACAACACAAAAAAAGGAAAATAGCAAAAGCAAAAATGTTTGTTACCCAATTAGAATATGAAAAATTGTACAAGAAAACTTTATGTGACTTGAACCCTGTATTAATAAATCCTTCTGCTATATGTGGAAAAATTATATTTTAGAGTTACGTTCCTTGAAGTTTTTCATTTGCCCATATTTTTAAAGCCATCTTTTAAAAATTCACATGTAAAACAATCTTTCTGTCTGCTGATTGTGTATTAATAATAATAAAACATCCTTGAATTTTAATTTACATCACAAGAAATGTTATTTTTTAACATTGAAGAGGATACAATCCCAGCTCAATATCTCTGCTGCCAATTTTATTCTAAATTTTAAAGTGTGCCTAGCAAAAACACTTATTATACTCCATTTTGTCAACATTTCTCTTTTCTAAAAAATACAAAATATATTGAAATTTAGTAATAAATATAGTTTCATTTTTTGCCATACTCTTCTTCTATACTACTAGGAGTTTTTAGCTCCTCCATGAGATTTAATCTAAAAATTCATACACTGTCTGATTTCTCAGGCCTGAAATTCTACTATGGTAGGATATATCTATATATGTATTTCATGTGTTAAAATACATTTGGGTAAATATCTGCTTGGCTGAGAAAGACAGCCCCAATATAGAGTAGTGTGAATAAATATCACCGAGTATAAATTGATGCTATCTCTGTCATCAAAACTTTTCTTCAGAATTATTCTGGTGTTCTTGAGGTATAACATGGCTTTTGCTTTCTAAACACCAAATGCTCCACATTCCACACATCTTATACTCTGTTATCTTTAGGCCTGTGGACAACAGTGGAAGGGGTGGAGATTGCACAGTCAGGTATTACCAAATTCAGCTTCACGTTTATCCTAAAGCAATGTCCAGGTCAAGAAGTCAAGCCACAAGATACCATCTGATTTTGTTGCCACACTTACTCCTTACGGCAATTTTCATTTCAGGGATCTCTTTTCTCCCTAGGAATCCAGGTTTATTCCAGAACATACCCAAGGATTCAGTTTCCTAAAAGAGATGTATTAAAATCTATCAGGAAATGATAGTTATATACATAAATAATTGTAATAAGAGATAACGACTAATTATGTCACAGGTAGTTGTCAAAGTGTTGTAGGAAAAAAGACTTATTTGTTATGAGAACAAAGAAAGGAGAAACAAAATTTTCCTAGAAAAATTAGGACTTTTTTTTAAAGAAAATGCCATCTGACCCCCTTTTAATTAAAAAAGGAAAGAAAAGCAATACAGGCAGCAAGAACAGCAAGACCAAAGTTGTATACTTAGAGATGTTTGGAAGAATGTTCAAAGAGATGGCTCTCAAATTGTGCTCCCCAGTATAGATTATCAGCATCATATAGGAATTTACTAGAAATGCAAAATCTTGGCCCAGCGCGGTGGCTCACGCCTGTAATCCCAGCACTTTGGGAGGCCGAGGCGGGCGGATCACGAGGTCAGGAGATCGAGACCATCCTGGATAACATGGTGAAACTCCGTCTCTACTACAAATACAAATTAGCCGGGTGTGGTGGCGGGTGCCTGTAGTCCCAGCCACTGGGGAGGCTGAGGCAGGAGAATGGCGTGAACCTGGGAGGCGGAGCTTGGAGTGAGCCCAGATCACGTCACTGCATTCCAGCCTGGGCAACAGAGCAAGACTCTGTCTCAAAAAGCAAAAACAAACAAACAAAAAAAAGAAAAGAAATGCAAAATCTTGAGCCCAGTCTAGACCAACGAGGTAAAAAAATTCGGGGATCATAGACTAGTAATCTCTGCATTAACATGGTCCCCAGATAATTCTGAAGCATATGAAAACTTGAACACTAGAAAGTAAACCTTAGGAAACACAACAAGTAACTGTTTCATATAGCTCAAATGTACAAAGATAAGTGTTAAAAATAGGTTTCAGTTTTATTCAGTAAGCATTTACTAGATGACAGGGAAAGATAACTTTGGTGCCATTATAGACATTTAATCAGGTTAGTGAAGAAATGAGACCACCCGTAAGGGGAAGAATACAGCTTGAGCAGAAATAGTAGTAGGAAAGATGGATAGTAGGTGTTAGACAAAAGATAAATTGGAGATTTAGAATTTCCTAGGTAATGTGTAATCTTTCAAAATGATTATCTGGAGTCAAAGTTTTAAACCAAAGAAAATACAGTACAGAAAATTGTAAGCATCTGAACATATTAATGGTGTGTGTTGCGGGGTGGGAAGGATTATATTTGCTTGAAGAGAATTTGTGCTACCCTATAAAGCACCTACTAATAGCAATGTGCATTATGCAATGTGAAGAAAACGAATCAGTTACGGTCTTGTGTTCTTTGTCTTCTTCCAATCTGGATTGATGGAATATGGAGGTTCTTCACTACAGCGTCGTATCTCATGTCTGTTTCTGAAATATTAAATGTAGCCTCAGTCTTCTTTTAGTAGAAACTAATGTTTGCCTATCTATACAACCAATAAATATAAAGTATTTCTGTTAAAATAGATATATTTGAAATTTATATATAATATATATTATATAAAAATTTATATACCATTAAATTTAAATTCAATTTTATATATACATATGTTTAAACATATTCTCCAGTGCAGAAATGGAAGTCCCAACTGGTAAGATGAGATAGGTGAGATAAAGAAAATAAAGCAATAAATCACTCTGCCATCTAAAATAATATAATTTTTGAAATATATTTTTATAAAACTGACATTTTTTGTCACTATTTAATCTCAAAACAAGTCAGTCTGTTTCTTAAGCTCATTTTTATTTTTTCTTGCAATATCAGTCTTTGGCAGAGCATTTTGATGTCATCCAAATATTTTCATTTTCAGTGTTTTGATAACAATATAAAAACATACTTGCACCCCATAAATATAACAATTCTGGTCACAAAAAGATTGTGACTTTATTTAATTTTTCTTTATACACTTCACATACATTTGTAAAGAACTTTAGAAAAACCCTTTAAAGATGGCTGCTTTAGCTGGAAAGTATGTTCTTTTTGCCCTTCCTCTTCAGTTCCTACCCAATATGTAGATAAGATCGCCAGAGCTTCAGCAACCATCTGAAAAATGAGATCACACTGGAGATCAAAGCCATGATGGCAAAAAGTAAATATAGAAATTAACTGACCTGTAATGTTATGGTGCTTCTTTACAAGCCTTAGATTGTCAATGTGAGTCTCTAACAATAAAAACAAAAGCATTTAAATCACTGTTTTTGGCTTATTTCACTTATCACAGTATCCTCTAGGTTCATCTATATTGTCACAAATCGCAGCATTTTTCCTTCTTTTCTAAAGTCTAAACAACATTCTACTGTGTATGTACACTACATTTTCTTTAACCGTCTGTTTATGGGCATTTGGTTTGTTTCCATATTATCGCCACTGTGAATGCTGCTTCAATAAACATGGGGATACAGATATCTCTTCCAGAGTCTGATTTCAATTATTTTATAATAGAAATGTACTCAGTAGTGGGATTGCTGGATCACATGGCAAGTCTATTTTTAATTTTCAAAGAAACTCAGATACTGTCTTTTACAGTGGCTGTATCATCCTACATTTTCACCAATAGTATACAAGAGTTTCAATTTCTCTACATCCTTGCCACATTTATTTTTTTATTATAGTAATCCTACCAGATGAGTATAGTTAACAATACAGATTTGTTCACTGAAAAATGTGTTAAGAGAATAGATTTCATGTTAGGTGTTCTTACCATACACACACAGGTACACAGAAAGAACAGAAGAAAAATTTTGGAGGTGATGCATATGTTTAGTTACTTGATTGTGGTAATGCTGTAATGGGTGTATGCATAGGTCTAAAATAATTAAAATGCATATATTATAATATGTGTAATTTTTGTATATCAATTATACCTTCAAAAAGCTTAACATTTTCAAGTAAATTGAAATCTAAGCCCCCCACACCAAATTCCAAAACACTGTTACTAGGGTTTTCAATTACATGAAGCCATATAATTCTGTGATATATTAAGATTCACCATCAAGTTTCTGGACCACGTATTTGTTTCCATTTTTTTCCTCATTTAAATCATACTAGTGGGATATTATTATATTTAAGTACAATATAGTATTGTTCTTGTTCATTAACTTTTACATTGTAAATATCTTTCTATGCCATATTATTCCATACCTTTGTTTTCAGTCTCATACATTTGCTGTAATTTATTAAACCAATCACCCATTGTAGAATAGTTATTTTTTCTTATTTTTCCTCTGTTGTAAACAAGAAGATGTAAAAACACTAGATTTTCAAATTCTAGTCAGCATTATGTACTATTGAAAAGTGATAATTAATTGAAATTTATTTGACCAAATAGGGTTTAATGCCAGGCAACTTTGTCCCCACAAGAACACAGTGTTTGTGAAGGACTCTCTAAAGTTGGGCCCAATCTAATTAGGGGGCAGTAAGAGTGCCAGGCATGAGTAACTGACAATCATGGTCATATGATACGAAGGCTCAATCATGTTCATGACTATACAAAGGCTCATTTTGTTCTTACAGAGCTCCACAAAACATGGAAGAAACAGAAATGCCTATTTAGACGGGAACGTTGAGACACAGAAATTTGCTGTCTCCTGTCCAATTGCTTACAATATCAAGTGTTTTTGCAGCTCAAGTAGCCATATTTTGCATGGGACATATGATATCTTCTGTTTGTTTTGAGTTTGAGTGTAATGAATCAATCACTTTGCCTGTCTTTCAGAAAAGAATCAGTTTTAGATTCTTCCGTCACTACATTTGCTGCCTCGTACATTTAATATGATGCTCCAAAATGAGAAAACTGACAAGCAAGCAGAACAGACATAATTGCCTGAGATTTAACTTCAGAAAGCAAAACTAAGTTTCCAAAATATCAAAAATATTTTAAGTGTTGTTGTATTTGTTGTTATATTAATACATGATTTGGTTTTATTGAAATAAAATAATAAATTTTGTATGTTCAAGTATCACTTTTCTTCTGCCTTTATCAAATTTCTAAATTGCTTGCAGGTGCAGCTACATTCACAACAAATTCCTTTCCTTGAGGTTATTCTAATGGCTCCAATAAGAGAAAAAAAATCTTCCTCCTATTACACTGTATTAATGACTACTAATACCACTGATTTATTAATAGATATCAGAAATCATTGCTGTGTGTTATTTTGCATGAATGGTTTGTAATTATTTATTTATTTATTTATTTATTTATTTATTTACTTTTTGAGGGACGGGGTCTCTCTGTGTTTCCCAGGCTGAACTGGAACTCCTGGGCTTAAGCAATTCTCCTATCTTAGACTCCTAAGTAGCTGGGACTACAGGAGTCCACCACCACTGCACCTGAAAATTCTTACACTTTTTAATCCTAAATAGTGTTGTATTTAGATTTGAGGCACAGGAAAAAATATTTATGACTGATAAGGTGTATGTAAATAAAGAACTCAGAACTCAGGGCTTAGCAGGGATATAAGTTTTCAAGGTCTTTAAAATCTAAAAACAACCACTCTCTTTTTAACATTTTGCTCTCTCCCTTTAACGAACTTAACTCAATTTTTTTATAATTTATTTATTTAAGATTAATTTCATCTCCTCCATCACACAGTAAAACCCATAAAGGCACAGGGTCTTTATTATCATAGACCCAGTGACTAGCCTAGTGCTTGGTACAAAGAGGGATGTAAGTATATATACACATATATAAAACAGTATAAATGATTGATGGAATAAAGGGTAAAACTACAGTGAGCTAATGCAGAAGAGAAGAAATAAAATAAATGTCATGGAGCAAAAATGACACAAAGTTTGTGTTTATGTGTACCTTAGTAGAATGTCACTAAAGCTGAATTTTCCAAGGCTGAAGATTTAAAAATATTAATTTTGTATTAACTTGTATTTTTACTTTTGTATTATTTTCCTCAAAGTAGAATGTTCTTGGAACGTAACTATATATCTTTTTATTCTCCTTTTAATCAGGGTGAGACATACAGTCAAAGAAGTTTCTCAATAAATGCCTATTAAATAATTAAATACATTTTTTCTATTGAATAATTAAATGAATATAATCTTTTCCCTAAAAGTATTATTGTTTATTGTGTTTATACATATAGTTTCTATTGCTCTTGACTAAATTTTAATCTTAAATAATTTATTGGGTAAATCAAGCAAATTTTGATATGTGCATATTTTCACAGGATATATACTAGTGCCCTTTTATTTGCCTTATTCTTTCAACAAATAATAGCCAAACTTGGAATGAATGGCATATTCTCAGTTAGCATTTACAATTTAAAATTGTTTAATGCTGATTGACAAGATTTTTTGCAAGGACAATGTTATTGTCACCATGCTCTGACTGGCAACTCAATATTACTTTCAATAACTTATCAAATACTATGGAACTTGACATGGTTTGCAATTGTAATAAGAAGAATGTTATATTTTAACCTTATTGTTTTCATCTTTACAGGGCACAAATCTGAGAAGATGAAAGGAACTATTAAAAATGGTTACGTGAAAAGTTCTAATAGCTCCAACATTTTCTTTTAGAGTTGATGACTACCTACCTGTATATACTTAGTAGTATTTTCTAGTAATATCACTGTTATACTATATTATTCATTAACTACCATCTAGGTGTTATTTGGTTCATGTCACATCCAAGTCTAAAAAGGCAAGCCCACAAAACTCTGAGTTTCTCTTAAATAACTAGTAGAATGATCTCGTGAAAAAATTAACCTATGATCTCAGACTAGATGGTAATCCAAAGAGACAAAGGAACTGACCATCACATTACATTCTTACATGGGTTTCTCCAATGCATTTACTCTGGACAGAGGTTGTGCAATGGATCCACTAAACTTCCTGTGAAAATAATTGACTGTTAGAAACACTTCCTTATGTGTTTCTTACATTTTGAAGAAGCTACTTGTAAACCTCTTTTGGAGTTTGACAAATCCTCAAATCATAAAAATAAATCAATTTGTCATCGTTTCTTTGTACTGACATATTAATGGAATATAATACACTAGCAGCAATAAGTTATTCTTCATAGTTTTGTGATTCAGCTTTGCCATATTAACCAGGATAATAATGGCAATGAAAAGCCTTCAGACTTCACTACTAGAGAACAAAGAAAAAGAAAACTGACATAAAATTACTATAACTCTTAAGATCTATAGCAGTAGTTTATGGCAGTATTATGAGTATGGCACTTTAAGATATTAACATATTTTTAAAGTGTCTTTATAATACTGTAGCCAAACTTAAAGAGTGGAGGGGAATGAAACATCAATGAAAGAAGAAAAATTGTTTCCTTCACAGTCACTTGATTTTTTTTCCCACAAATGATAAAAACAAAGTGTATCTCCATCAAATTTTATAGACCCAATTTTGAGTAAAATATTTCTCCCAACAACTTAAAAGTAAAGTAGGAGTTTGAGGCTTCTGGATGAATTTGGATTGAGAAGCTAAATAATCTAGATGTTTACAAAAGTTGACAGGAAAATGTTACTTGAAGTTGATCCTGTTCTATAAACAAACAAACAAATGAAAGACTAAATAATCTTAAAGTACTAAATTGAAGAGACCTATGTATTTCCTAGAAATATACTAGAAATATGAGCCACACAGTAGGCATTTGGCTCAATCTCTATTTAAACTGGCATTAGTAGTATCAAGTTCTATATAGTGTTAAACTGTCTGGATACTGGAACAAACTAACTGGAATCAAATCCTGCTTCTGTTGCAAATGACAGAATAACTTTAAACTCCTTAAGTCTCAGTTTCCTTTTCTGTACTGGGATAAAATGATTAAAAAACAACCAACACTACTGAGCCAATTTTTTATTCATAAAAAAAATTATTGGATACCATATAGTGGCAGATACTGTTCAAATAACAGAACAGAGAAAAAGACGCTTGCCCTCTTGCAACTTTCATGGATTGCCATGATTATTAAGAATTCAGATAAGCCGGGCAAGGTGGCTCACGCCTGTAATCCCAGCACTTTGGGAGGCCGAGGCAGACAGATCACCTGAGATCAGGAGTTAAAAACCAGCCTGGCCAACATGGCGAAACCCCATCTCTACTAAAAATACAAAAATTAGCCAGGCATGGTGGTGGGTGCCTGTAATCCCAGCTACTCGGGAGGCCGAAGCAGGAGAATCGCTTGAACCCAGGAGGCGGAGGTTGAAGTGAGCCGAGGTCGCGCCACTGCACTTCGGCCTGGGTGACACAGCCAGACTCCATCTCAAAAAAAAAAAGAAAAAGAAAAAAAAAAGAATTCTGATAATGTGCTTAACACTGCACCAATAATTGTGTTATTGCAAAAGAGAAGCTCCTGTGATAAAAATTGTGATGATTCATATTATTATTTGAGTGAATAGTGATCTAACATAAAATCCTTTTTCATCATGATGTCTTGTGATTTGATGTAATGCAGAATTGATCCACAGTTGATGGCCGATCATAATAGTACTTTTCACACTTTCTCACATAATATGTGTGACTTTGATGATAAATAAAATGTGATCTGAGTTCATACCTGCTGATAATTGGCCACAATCTGGCAACCTAAAGAAATGTATTTAATCATCTTATTTAGACAGGTCTGGAAGTTAAGTGTATTTTCTGAAAGTTTGCTTATCTTAATTTACAAAAAGCTTTCAGAACCAAAGTGTATTTTTTTAATTGGGTTAACATAAAAGACATAAATTACAGTCTTCGTGTAACTCTTTATATTGGCTAATTGATAATAAATGCACACTTACAGCTACAGAATATATTTTTTGCATGGAATCTATGGGAAGTAATAAAGAATTACTTACACATACTAGAATTATATTGAGGGGATAAAATGTAAATGCAATGAAAGAATGAACTTAATTCCATCTCAATGACAAAAGAACTAAAAAAAAAGCTCTTGTTTATTATTAGAATTCTAAATTCTTGCTCAGAGGGTTCTATTAAACTTTATTTCCTCCTTCATTAGTTTCATTTTATTATTTATTTCTCTCAACTGTTAACTTTCTGAACAGATAAATACATCATTGCGTTTGTATATATTATTTCCCTTTGGGTGATGTAACAAATTAGCACAAACTTGGTGGCTTAAAGTAAAACAATTTATTAATTTAGCTTTCAGTAGGTTAGACGTCTGATGTGAACCCACTTAATAAAATTCAGGGTGTCAGCTAGGCTGCATTCCTTCTGGAGGCTTAGAAAAGAATCATTTGCCTGCCTTTTTCCACTTCTAGAAGCCACTCACATTCCTTACCTAGTGACCATTCTTCCATCGTCAAAGCCAACAACGGTGGGTAGAATCATTCTCAGAATGCCATCTCTCTGGTTCCCTGAAGCCAAAAAAGGTTCTCTGCCTTTAAGAATCCATGTGATTAGATTTGACTGAACTGGGTAATCCAGGTTCTTCTTCCTATTTCAAGGTATTTATCTTAACTACAACCGTAAAAATCTCTTTTGCCATGTCCTGAAGATTAGGGTATGGGTATGTCTAAGGGCCATTATTTGCTGACCACAGTGTGTGAAATAAGTAAGTACAATAAGAAATCACAAAAAAACAGTTAAGTGTAAGAAAAATTATTTTTCAAGAGAACATTTTGTATTAATTTTTCAAATAAAATAGCAAAGATTTCATGAAGAATATAGTGTTTGATAGAAATTAAACATTTTATGCTCAAAACTTTCAGGTGACTTTATGATCCTTTTATTAGTATAGATTAATTTTTTATCATGATTATTTTCTCACTTTTTCAGTCTCTGTTCCTCCTATTTATACATAGGGAAACTTGGAATAAGAAACAAATACACTGGATTTTGTGAATGTGTTATATAGGGAATATCTGTCATAATCATTGAAAAGTGGACCATATCACATCTGACACATACATCCTTACACTGCTACAGGCATAGAATTATTTTAATGTTTTAATGAAGGAAAACACCTTGAAATGCACAATAGCATAGAAATGCTTTAAGAAGTAGATAAAAGACTGATTTCGTTTTTTTTCAGTCTTTCCATTCTTCCAATATTTCTATCCGTGAAAACATTATCTCCTATTTTGGTGGTATTTTATTTTATTATTTTTTTTTTGATTGAGTCTCACTCTGTCACCCAGGCTGGACTGCAGTGGCGCCATCTCGGCTCACTGCAAGCTCCACCTCCCAGGTTCACGCCATTCTCCTGCCTCAGCCTCCCGAGTAGCTGGGACTACAGGCACCCGCCACCACTCCCGGCTAATTTTTTGTGTGTTTATAGTAGAGACTTGGTTTCACCGTGTTAGCCAGAATGAGTCTCGATCTCCTGGCCTCATGATCCGCCCGCCTCGGCCTCCCAAAGTGCTGGGATTACAGGCGTGAGCCACCGCGCCTGGGCCCTATTTTGGTATCTTCTTAATAAGGTAGTTCATTCTACTCAGGGTCATTCAAACACCTCGGGTCCACCTGGGGCCAAAAGGGAAGTCAAAGCCTGGTTGTTTACTGGATTTAACGGCAATTTTACATCCCTGACTTATCAAAAACACCTGACAGCATACAGAATATTTTCAAATTCCCTAGAAGAGAAATCATTCTTTTTTTCTTCTCCTTTCTCTTGTTTTCATGTATTATAGTTTTAATTTTTTTTCACCAAACACTAATTTATCTTTAGCCCTTTTTTATCTCCTACCATGTACTTTTCTGACACCTGCTCCCCTCCATCAAGTATCTTGCTACTACAGAAACAGAGCATTCAAGTGTACTTTATATTGATTGAAAATATTTTCACATTGAAAATAAATTCCTATTGGTGTTAAGATCTTTATGACTTCTTGCCTTTTAAATTGTTCTGTTACTCTAGGAATTTAACTTCATCTTTTCCCTTAGGATCACCACCTTTTAGATTTCAGGGACTCTTTGACATAATTAGGTTGATCTTTAATAAGTTCCAGTTTAATAGCTCAAGTGAGCCCACATTAATTCCACTTTGTTTCTGGTCTATTTGTGCAAATGATAATTCCCTTTCTTTCATCAATGTCATCTCTACACTGACTCCTAGCTCCACGTACTGAGAGTCTCCATCTGAGTTCTGCCTAAACTCATAGGTTAGTCTCTGATAACCTTTCTCCTAAACCTCTCAAACACCAACAGGCTGATTGCTGGATTCTCACAACTTGCCTCTTTAAATTGCTCTCTCCTTTTGGAATTTTGCAGTGGCTTCAATAATCACTTACTTCATGTCACTATACTCAGAATGTTCACCGGACCACCTGTGTGCTTGTGTTTCTCTTATTACCTGCCCTCTAGCCTGAATCATGGATAGTTTCATGTTAAAAGCTTATCATTTATAATTAAGCAAATAATTAAACCAATATTGTTGATAAAATATTTTCACAAATATTTAGAAGAGTTTTATAAAAATGTAGTTATTTAGCCCCTGTAATTACTCAGATATTTTGCAGATTTGCAATAAGCAGAAAATAGAATCTTGTTCTCAACGAGTTGATAGTCTGGAAAAGAAAAGAGATGTTAATGGAATAATCATTATAATGGATATATAATGACAAATGAGATAAATGTTCTGCAGGAAAAATCACTGGGCTCTATGAATGTATTATAAGAAAGTCCTGTATTATACAAAAGAATCAGAGAAATCTTTTTGAAAAAGTAACACCTGAGCCAAAGAAAAGGTGTGAATAGTGGCTGAACATTCAAATGGTGGGGGTGCTGGGATTTGGAGAGAGTCTTTCTGGTAGATAAAAAGACCACATGTGGCCAGGCGCGATGGCTCATGCCTGTAATCCCAGCACTTTGGGAGGCCGAGGCGGGTGCATTACGAAGCCAAGGGATTGAGACCATCCTGGCAAACATGGTGAAACCCCGTCTCTACTAAAAATACAAAAGTTTGCTGGGCCTGGTGGCGTGTGCCTGTGGTCCCAGGTACTCGGGGTGCTGAGGCAAGAGAATTGCTTGAACCCGGGCTTAGGTTAGGTTGCAGTGAGCCGAGATTGTGCCACTAAGCCTGGCGACAGAGCGAGACGCTGTCTCAAAAAACAAACAACAAACAAACAAACAAACAAACAAAAAACAGCACATGCTCGGTGATGGAAGAGTGCATGCCAAGTCTGAGGGACAAAACAAAATGCCACTGTGCCAGAGTTTGTTAAACCAGGGGAGTGCTACATGATGAAGCTCCAGAGAGAGGCAGGGACAAGATAACACACAGCTTTATAGGTCATGTTGAGCAATAATAGATTTTAAGCAGCATGAGTGACATCACAAGTTTGCAAAGATCATCCTAACTGGAATGTGAGGAATAGACTGGAGAAGGACCAACTTGGATGAGGAATAGCACTTAGATTATGGCAGAATTCAACTGAGGAACAATCATAGATTGGAGCATTCTGCACGCAGCCTTAAAGACTGGCTAGTTACATGACAAATGTGCCAGAATTAAATATGGAAAATGTACTCAATACTCCATAGTTCCCATTTTGAATAACTTGTATTTATAGCATTTTGCACACAATAAAGCACATACAATAATGCTTATGTGTGTACCCATGTATGTTCCTTTTAATCATCAGAAGCATCTTGTGAGGTAGCTATTTCTTCATTTTTTTCAAGTTAAGATATTTTCAGAAAGTTGAATGTCTTGTCAAAGCCTACACAAATGGTAAATAGCAGAATCAGCCCTCCTGAACCGTTACTTTCACTTCTTTCTTTCTACTTCATTGCATCCATTATATTTAAACATTTTCTCTTCCTTAAACAAACAAACAAACAAACTATATGCAGTATAGGAGCGTTAACACCTTTCTGCATATTCTCAGCTGCAGTTGCCAACTCTTCTACAGTTTCCTTAGCATCTTAATCTGCTAAACACTTAACGACAATTACTGATGACAACAAACGCAGAATACAATGTTGAGCCTTCTTAGTAGTTCAGTTTCTCCTCTTTGCATATGTTAATGAATAATTTTAATTCTACATGATCAACAATTTAAAAGCATGCTTGTAGCTCAAGCAATTTGGAAGTGTACTTTAGAATCTATAAATACATTTTGGACAGATATGATCTGGTGCTAATCCTGAGGATATGACAGAAGGCAAACACCAGTCAGCATCATTTAAGAGTTATTTTCTTCATTAAATTTTCTTCCCAAAATGGTGGGTAATTCTAATTTTTTAAATGTCTAAAAAAGGCTCAAGGCTCCTATCAGCTATGGAATTATACAATCTTACATTTAAATTTGTTACATAGTTATGTGGAAAAGGGAATAACTGGTGTGCCATAAGCTACAGTTGCTGACACAGTACTCATAATAGGTTCTTTCCCAGAGGTTTTATTGCAGTTATATAAAAAAATCATTCATTTATGATGTTCAAAAAACTTTTTTGGGGGTTACATTTTTGAGAGATGTAGCAGGAAAATATTAGTTACTGTTTATAATAACTTAAGCAACAAACATTTGTGCAACTACAAACACTGTGATAGTTTGCATTTTCTTACTTGTTCAAAATACAGAATTTTAAACTTCCTAATGTAAAAATTATTTTAAGTTCCGTAGGAACAAAATTACATCACTACTGAAAACAGAGGCCTTGTTTCTTATTATTACAGTCATACCTTTTCTTTTTCTGACATTTTATTGATGTATACATAAAATATTATTCAATACAATCGCTTTGCAATGCTAGTAATTTGAGGAAAATTAAATTTTACAGGTTTCTTTATGCTTCTGTCATATTCATCTTCCTTCTTCATAATTATTTCAGACTTGCCAGTAAGCTTTCTGTTATTTTTGCCTCTCTTGAGAAGCTTTTGTAATGAAAAGAGAAAAGAGAGAAATTTCTCAAGGTAGCATATGCTATTCAAAAGAAAATCATCTTGGAAAATTATCATTATTTCATACATTATTTTAAGAGTTTCCCTAGGAATGACCTTCCTTCTAGACAGATGAGAGTACATATTAAACATTTATAGTCTGAGAAATTAACTTTTGGCAGAGGGGAAAAAGGAAGAAAAAACGATTAAGACATAGAGTCTGGTTCGATCAATCTGGCTATGAATAATTACGTTAAAATTGGCTCTTTATATTTTGCACACTCTATAAAGTTATACATTTAACAGAAATTGCTTTGTGAAATAAAAGTAAATAATTAAAATAGAAAAACATAAAAGAAATTATTTTGCTAAATAAATTATTTTAAATGAAACAAGATATTATGGGGCAGTGTCTTTTATTTAATATCTACTTATAAATTATGTTTCACAAAGTATACACTTTTCATCCAAATTTACCATATCTAAAGGCAAAATAATCCACAAAATGTTTAATTATATCTTGACTTTTAGTATTATTATTATTTTATTTCAATAGCTTTTGTGGTATAAATGGCTTTTGGTTACATGGATGAATTCTCTTGCGGTGAATTCTGAGATTTTAGCGCACCTGTCATCCAAGCAGTGTACACTGTGCCCAATATGTAGCCTTTTCTTCTTCAACCCCCCTCTTCACCTCTCCATCAGTTCCCAAAGTCCATCATACCACTCTGTATGTCTTTGCACCCACATAGCTTAGCTCACACTTATAAATGAGAACATATCTTCTGATCTTTTTTTAAGATGATAAAGCTACCATTTTCTGGAGACTCTCCAGTGTCCAAAGGAGAAGGGTCTACAATTATGAATATTTTCGGATACACCTGTATGACACAGAGATTTTTTTTTTCATCCACATAGCCGTGTACAAAATTTGAAGGGGGATAAGGCAGAAAATTGGCCCCAGTTTTCGTATTTCAAACTTAAACAATAAAATGTCCTTACTCTAATTTTTGTAACAGTGTTTGTGCTTTGAGATGTTAATGCAGAATTCTACACAGTATTACAAAAAGATTAAAGGCCTGCAATTGTATCTGAAGCAAAGTTTACCCTAAAGCTAAACTGCATTAATTTTTCCATCATAAAGCCATGACACACTTTATAAGTTGCATTATTATATAATGTTGTCCCCCCTTGCACCTAGAAGTTTCAAATTGAAATCAATGTCATCCAAATCTAAAACTAGCTTTTTTATTAACATCTTCATTTTAAAATAAATTGCAACATTATACCTTGTTATAAAAGATGAAAAATGTTGCCTGGGGGTCCATCAAATAATTTCCAGATGCCAACCATATTTTATGTAATTCTATAATACCACTGAAATGAACGTGTCTTAAACCTTTTGTGTCCAAATTCATAGGAAACATCACCATGGTAACATGATAGTCTAAGGAAACGATATTTTAGAGCTTAAGTCTGAAGAGTAAATGTCAGAGACCAGTAATTCTGAGCTTTTTGCTCTTTGAAGAATTCCATATATTTGCATCAATATTTAAACATTAAATCATTGGTTTATAAGATTAGCAAAAGTGCATTTACTTATTAGTAAAGTTACCAGCCTTATCCCAACAATGCATGTAAAATATGTTACCATTGTTGGGTATTTCTGAAATGAATATAAATATGGTACCACCACATTTTTGTTTATGACTGTATTCAATGTTCAATATTTGTATAGTGCTTTTAAATTTTCAAATAATTTTGAGTGACATTATAGATATTTTTACAATGGTTTATTTTATATGAAGAACATTAAACACCATATAATTGTGTTACCTTTGATCACACACCTGTTTGGGTGTTAAGTAGACACAAAAGGAGTTTCAGAGAAGAATCTTAGTCTTTGGACCTGTACTTGCCAGTCTCATTTAAAAGAAAAAAAAATGAGTGGGTTGTCACATATTCTAATGCTGTCCCTATTAAATTCCTCATTTTCTAAAAAGATTCATAGTCATAGTCTCATATGCACAAACTGAAAATGTGTAAGAATCTTCACTTCAGTGAACTGACTGCCTTGAAATATTTCTCAGAGTATCCCTGGAAGTATAAATAAATTGTCATAACTTCTCAGCACAACTGTGCTAATGTTTTTTTAACCTTTTTGTTTCTGTTTTTGGTTTTGTTTTTTGTTAGTGGAGAAATTTATATTGAAATACGCTGTGAACTGCAGAAATACAAAAAATCTAAAATACAGAGTAATTTATTTGAACACACCTAAATGTCTAGAGTCATAGAGCATTTACACACCAGTGTGGAGAGACCATATTTTCTGAAATTGTTACAATCATGGTGAATAATTTACTAGCTTTATTTTAGAGTGTTAATAAGAACATAAGCAAATAATCTACAGTATGTGAAATGTTTTTCTTTAGAGTTTTAATACTTTTAGAAAAGTGTTCAATAATGTTCTAATATAATATTTTGTTTTATAATACCAATACATTAGTTGGGCATTATGAGTGTTCATAGATAATTTGTTTAAAGAGAAGAACAATATATAAAAACATTATGCCAATGTATATACTTTCAAGAAAGGCAATTAATGTTTGAAAAACTTTCTTAAAGTTCCTTAGGTTTTGAGATGATATTATCCTTTTTTTGAATGTATAATTTAAACTCTGGAAAAAAAATCTCTGACACTCCTCTAATTAAATGATTCTCAGGTTATTTCATCCAGATTAGGCCTTTAGGAAAACAATACTTGAAATTATATTTGCAGAATGAGATAATTGTTTAAATTATACTACTAGATAAGAGTCCAGGGTAATTATTGGTTATTTGAAGACATCAGTCTCTTCTAATTTTGTAGTTAAAACAAGCTAATTAATGATTTTTTTATGCTGGAAACGTATTAAAAATAAAATCTACAATAGATTTTTCACACAGTTCTAATTATTGAATCAATAAATGCTTCCAGAAGGTTTTTTTAAAAAATCATTTAAAAATTAGCAAGAGAGAATAACACATTAAATTATCAAAGGAATAGAAAAGTTATATGTGAAAGGCTACTGTATTAGAACTCTTCTGTCTAGAATAACACATACTAGGGAATTCTGAAATAAAATTACACAGAAAAATAACATGCAAGTAAAGCAATAGTATGAACTTGGCTTTGTTTATCAAGTCTAACCTCAAGAACTAAAAGAATCACTTGAATGAAAAAGACTTTACCAAGGAAAAACAAACTAAAATAATTTTGCTTTTTTTGTGGAAAAGCAACTTGTTTGAGGAATAAGCTCTTTATGGTTAGGATTATAATTTGAAACACTATGTTATTAAAATTAGTATGCAAATTATTTCTGTAAAGTTTTTCAAAACATACGTTGTTTATTAAAATTATAATTATAATTATAATATTTTAAAAATTATTTTCCATTAAAAGAACCTTCCACAAATCATTTTTAGGAAAAGTGAAATAAAAGTAAATGAAAACATTATGTATAACATATGAATTGTCTTACTGATTAAAAAATTAAATATATAGTGCCCAAAAAGTTATTACATCCTTATTAGTATCTTGTTTGAAAAAAGATTACATACGTTTGGATTTTAAAAGAAAATAAATAATTTATGTATTTATTCACATGATCCACCTATTCAACAAATGTTTATTGAGAACCTACTGTGTGGTACATAGTGCAATGCACTATAGAAATAAATATCACAGAACAGCCTCTCTCTCAAAAACTTCATAACATTATGCTTCTCTCAATTATTTTAAAGTATTTTATAAATACTTTTCTTTGACTTTGAATTATCTGGAAAAAGTACCTTAAGTCTTGACTTTGCATTGCTTATATAGGTACAGTTTCCATGGCATGCATTTTTCCAAGTGTCTAAATTTCTCCTGAGTAGTGCTTAGGCATCTAGGGCAGCAAAGCTCTTCAGTCCACAAGGGAACCCCTTGGATCGTTATTGCTGCAGTTCATTAAGTGGTACTCTATTGGTTTAGAGTTAATAGGCTTTCTAAGCACCTACGTCACTACCTATGATGTATTATGCCCATAGAATGTTTACAATGGATAATAAGGTTAACTGTTAAAAGGTTAATTTGTCTTCTGTTCACAGGTAAAAAGGAACTACTAAGCTTATATTCAGACTAACAAATTGTGAGTTTTATTCAAACTAACAAATTGTGAGTTTTAATCATCTGAGCAATGGAATTACCTTAACTCAATCAGGATGCTCAAGATTGCAGAGTATTGATAATATAGAGATCGACTATTTCCAAATTTACTACAAATTTGCATTGGTGATCACAGTGTATTATGTTAAAATCATTATTGTTTAAATATCTAAAATGTAGGTTTATTTCTGAAAAGACCCACATCATTTTAACTCCTCTTAATGTTTATCCTAAAATGATATTATACAGTAAAAGATTATATGCTAAAGAAAAGGCAAGCCCAAAGAGTAATTATCACTATGTGACCATACTTCTCTACCTAGATTTAGAAAGAGGGGGAAGAGGGAGACAGAGAGAGAATGTACTATGTACAATATTGTCTTACATGGCAAAGAACAGGAAGATCAATTCTTATTTGAATTAAAGCTATTTTACATCTTAATCTACATTTTACCTTCCATCTTTAATCATTTCTGAAAATGTAATGGAAGTTTTATATTTCATATTTTTTATATATATATGTATAATTTTGCTTTAGGGACAGGATTTGTTTCTATTCTGGCTTACAAAAAGTGTCATTAGTTCTTTAGTTCAAACTGATTTTTTAATTTGCCAGACAAAAAAGGTTCATCTTTGGCTTTTGAGGTATAATATTACATAAAGTTTCTTATAAAAAATGCTTCAAAATTTTTTTAGAGAATGCAGTTTTAATAATTTGCCTCTAAATGTTACTTATAACTACTGTCCCTCAGCTATTCATTCATTTGCTTATTCCATCAACAAATATTTATTCAGTGTCTAGTATGTACCAGAAAATACTTTTGGCATCAAGGATGTAGTTGTGAACTTTAAAGGTAGTTTTCTTTCTACTTTTCTGGTACCTATATCTAAAGAAGAACCTGAAAAGTAAGATGAATGAATGAATGATTGGTCAAATAAATGAATGAATAAACAAAGAGAAATAAGATAATGAGAAAAATAAATGAGGTACTATGATAAAGAATCATGACCAGTTAATATTGGGAGGGCAAGGAAGAGGAGGTGTCTCTGAGAAAGTGAGACATAAACCAAGACCTTAGTGACAGTGGAATGTAACCATGCTAGGAGCTCTGGCAAGGATATAGTAGGCATGAGGCTCAGCAAATCCAAAGGCCTTAAATTTCAAACAAATTTGGGGGTCTTCAGAACATACCAAAGTGGAGTCTAACTTGACCAATGCAAAGACCAGGGCTAGTGTTATAACATGAGGTTGGAAAAGGAGGTAATGGCAAATTGTGTAGGGCTCTGAAAGTTAAGGTAAAGTGTTTTGGATAATATTTAAATACAAACAAAACTCATTTGATGAATTTAACTTGGAAGTAACATGCTTTGGTTGGAAATTTTAAAAGACCATTCTGGTTTCTGGAGAATGAATAACAAGGGACAAAAGAGTAGAAGCAAGAAGATTAGTTAAAGACAGAAATCAAGGAGGACATGTAGGTTTTTAGCTCAACAATCTGGGTATATTTCCTGAGGTAAGCAATATTTAAATGGCTGCCTTAATTGAGTTTTAATGCTAACATTAATAAAGTTTTGAGTAATTGCTTTTAAAGATAATATAATCTAGAAGACAAAATAAGGCAATTCTATGCCAGTAGAAGCTTAAAATTGTAGAGTGGCAATCCCCTAACTTTTGCAAGTATAAAATCTTTGAGATTAGGAGGGAGGAGCCAAGATGGCCGAATAGGAACAGCTCTGGTCTACAGCTCCCAGTGTGAGCGACGCAGAATACGGGTGATTTCTGCATTTCCATCTGAGGTACCAGGTACATCTCACTAGGGAGTGCCAGACAGTGGGCGCAGGTCAGTGGGTGCGCGCACCGTGCACCAGCCGAAGCAGGGCGAGGCATTGGCTCACTCGGGAAGCACAAGGGGTCAGGGACTTCCCTTTCCTAGTCAAAGAAAGGGGTGATGGACGGCACCTGGAAAATCGGGTCACTCCCACCCGAATACTGTGCTTCTCTGACGGGCTTAAAAAACAGCGCACCACGAGATTATATCCTGCACCTGGCTCGGAAGGTCCTACGCCCATGGAGTCTCGCTGATTTGCTAGCACAGCAGTCTGAGATCAAACTGCAAGGCGGCAGCTAGGCTGGGGGAGGGGCGCCCACCATTGCCCAGGCTTGTTTAGGTAAACAAAGCAGCCCGGAAGCTCGAACTGGGTGGAGCCCACCACAGCTCAAGGAGGCCTGCCTGCCTCTGTAGGCTCCACCTCTGGGGGCAGGGCACAGACAAACAAAAAGACAGCAGTAACCTCTGCAGACTTAAATGTCCCTGTCTGACAGCTTTGAAGAGAGCAGTGGTTCTCCCAGTACGCAGCTGGAGATCTGAGAATGGGCAGACTGCCTCCTCAAGTGGGTCCCTGACCCCTGACCCCCGAGCAGCCTAACTGGGAGGCACCCTCCAGCAGGGGCACACTGACACCTCACACGGCAGGGTACTCCAACAGACCTGCAGCTGAGGGTCCTGTCTGTTAGAAGGAAAACTAACAAACAGAAAGGACACCCACACCAAAAACCCATCTGTACATCACCATCATCAAAGACCAAAACTAGATAAAACCACAAAGATGGGGAAAAAACAGAACAGAAAAACTGGAAACTCTAAAAAGCAGAGCGCCTCTCCTCCTCCAAAGGAACGCAGTTCCTCACCAGCAACGGAACAAAGCTGGATGGAGAATGACTTTGACGAGCTGAGAGAAGAAGGCTTCAGACGATCAAATTACTCTGAGCTATGGGAGGACATTCAAACCAAAGGCAAAGAAGTTGAAAACTTTGAAAAAAATTTAGAAGAATGTATAACTAGAATAACCAATACAGAGAAGTGCTTAAAGGAGCTGATGGAGCTGAAAACCAAGGCTCGAGAACTACGTGAAGAATGCAGAAGCCTCAGGAGCCAATGCGATCAACTGGAAGAAAGGGTATCAGCAATGGAAGATGAAATGAATGAAATGAAGCGAGAAGGGAAGATTAGAGAAAAAAGAATAAAAAGAAACGAGCAAAGCCTCCAAGAAATATGGGACTATGTGAAAAGACCAAATCTACGTCTGATTGGTCTACCTGAAAGTGATGGGGAGAATGGAACCAAGTTGGAAAACACTCTGCAAGATATTATCCAGGAGAACTTCCTCAATCTAGCAAGGCAGGCCAACATTCAGATTCAGGAAATACAGAGAACGCCACAAAGATACTCCTCGAGAAGAGCAACTCCAAGACACATAATTGTTAGATTCACCAAAGTTGAAATGAAGGAAAAAATGTTAAGGGCAGCCAGAGAGAAAGGTTGGGTTACCCTCAAAGGGAAGCCCATCAGACTAACAGCAGATCTCTCGGCAGAAACCCTACAAGCCAGAAGAGGGTGGGGGCCAATATTCAACATTCTTAAAGAAAAGAATTTTCAACCCAGAATTTCATATCCAGCCAAACTAAGCTTCATAAGTGAAGGAGAAATAAAATACTTTACAGACAAGCAAATGCTGAGAGATTTTGTCACCACCAGGCCTGCCCTAAAAGAGCTCCTGAAGGAAGTGCTAAACATGGAAAGGAACAACCGGTACCAGCCGCTGCAAAATCATGCCAAAATGTAAAGACCATCGAGACTAGGAAGAAACTGCATCAACTAACGAGCAAAATAACCAGCTAACATCATAATGACAGGATCAAATTCACACATAACAATATTAACTTTAAATGTAAATGGACTAAATGCTCCAATTAAAAGACACAGACTGGCAAATTGGATAAAGAGTCAAGACCCATCAGTGTGCTGTATTCAGGAAACCCATCTCACGTGCAGAGACACACATAGACTCAAAATAAAAGGATGGAGGAAGATCTACCAAGCAAATGGAAAACAAAAAAAGGCAGGGGTTGCAATCCTAGTCTCTGATAAAACAGACTTTAAACCAACAAAGATCAAAAGAGACAAAGAAGGCCATTACATAATGGTAAAGGGATCAATTCAACAAGAAGAGCTAACTATCCTAAATATATATGCACCCAATACAGGAGCACCCAGATTCATAAAGCAAGTCCTGAGTGACCTACAAAGAGACTTAGACTCCCACACATTAATAATGGGAGACTTCAACACCCCACTGTCAACATTAGACAGATCAATGAGACAGAAAGTCAACAAGGATACCCAGGAATTGAACTCAGCTCTGCACCAAGCAGACCTAATAGACATCTACAGAACTCTTCACCCCAAATCAACAGAATATACATTTTTTTCAGCACCAGACGACACCTTTTCCGAAATTGACCACATACTTGGAAGTAAAGCTCTCCTCAGCAAATGTAAAAGAACAGAAATTATAACAAACTATCTCTCAGACCACAGTGCAATCAAACTAGAACTCAGGATTAAGAATCTCACTCAAAACCGCTCAACTACATGGAAACTGAACAACCTGCTCCTGAATGACTACTGGGTACATAACAAAATGAAGGCAGAAATAAAGATGTTCTTTGAAACCAACGAGAACAAAGACACAACGTACCAGAATCTCTGGGACGCATTCAAAGCAGTGTGTAGAGGGAAATTTATAGCACTAAATGCCCACAAGAGAAAGCAGGAAAGATCCAAAATTGACACCCTAACATCACAATTAAAAGAACTAGAAAAGCAAGAGCAAACACATTCAAAAGCTAGCAGAAGGCAAGAAATAACTAAAATCAGAGCAGAAATGAAGGAAATAGAGACACAAAAAACCCTTCAAAAAATTAATGAATCCAGGAGCTGGTTTTTCGAAAGGATCAACAAAATAGATAGACCGCTAGCAAGACTAATAAAGAAAAAGAGAGAGAAGAATCAAATAGACACAATAAAAAATGATAAAGGGGATATCACCCCCGATCCCACAGAAATACAAACTACCATCAGAGAATACTACAAACACCTCTACGCAAATAAACTAGAAAATCTAGAAGAAATGGATAAATTCCTGGACACATACACTCTCCCAAGACTAAACCAGGAAGAAGTTGAATCTCTGAATAGACCAATAACAGGAGCTGAAATTGTGGCAATAATCAATAGCTTACCAACCAAAAAGAGTCCAGGACCAGATGGATTCACAGCCGAATTCTACCAGAGGTACAAGGAGGAACTGGTACCATTCCTTCTGAAACTATTCCAATCAATAGAAAAAGAGGGAATCCTCCCTAACTCATTTTATGAGGCCAGCATCATTCTGATACCAAAGCCGGGCAGAGACACAACCAAAAAAGAGAATTTTAGACCAATATCCTTGATGAACATTGATGCAAAAATCCTCAATAAAATACTGGCAAACCAAATCCAGCAGCACATGAAAAATCTTATCCACCATGATCAAGTCGGCTTCATCCCTGGGATGCAAGGCTGGTTCAATATACACAAATCAATAAATGTAATCCAGCATGTAAACAGAACCAAAGACAAAAACCACATGATTATCTCAATAGATGCAGAAAAGGCCTTTGACAAAATTCAACAACCCTTCATGCTAAAAACTCTCAATAAATTAGGTATTGATGGGACATATTTCAAAATAATAAGAGCTATCTATGACAAACCCACAGCCAATATCATACTGAATGGGCAAAAACTGGAAGCATTCTCTTTGAAAACTGGCACAAGACAGGGATGCCCTCTCTCACCACTCCTATTCAACAAAGTGTTGGAATTTCTGGCCAGGGCAATTAGGCAGGAGAAGGAAATAAAGGGTATTCAATTAGGAAAAGAGGAAGTCAAGTTGTCCCTGTTTGCAGATGACATGATTGTATATCTAGAAAACCCCATTGTCTCAGCCCAAAATCTCCTTAAGCTGATAAGCAACTTCCGCAAAGTCTCAGGATACAAAATCAATGTACAAAAATCACAAGCATTCTTATACACCAACAACAGACAAACAGAGAGCCAAATCATGAGTGAACTCCCATTCACAATTGCTTCAAAGAGAATAAAATATGTAGGAATCCAACTTACAAGGGATGTGAAGGACCTCTTCAAGGAGAACTACAAACACTGCTCAAGGAAATAAAAGAGGATACAAACAAATGGAAGAACATTCCATGCTCATGGGTAGGAAGAATCAATATCGTGAAAATGGCCATACTGCCCAAGGTAATTTACAGATTCAATGCCATCCCCATCAAGCTATCAATGACTTTCTTCACAGAATTGGAAAAAAGTACTTTAAAGTTCATATGGAACCAAAAAAGAGCCCGCATTGCCAAGCCAATCCTAAGCCAAAAGAACAAAGCTGGAGGCATCACACTACCTGACTTCAAACTATACTACAAGGCTACAGTAACCAAAACAGCATGGTACTGCTACCAAAACAGAGATATAGATCAACGGAACAGAACAGAGCCCTCAGAAACAATGCCGCATATCTACAACTATCTAATCTTTGACAAACCTGAGAAAAACAAGCAATGGGGAAAGGATTCCCTATTTAATAAATGGTGCTGGGAAAACTGGCTAGCCATATGTAGAAAGCTGAAACTGGATCCCTTCCTTACACCTTATACAAAAATCAATTCAAGATGGATCAAAGACTTAAACGTTAGACCTAAAACCGTAAAAACCCTAGAAGAAAACCTAGGCATTACCATTCAGGACATAGGCATGGGCAAGGACTTCATGTCTAAAACACCAAAAGCAATGGAAACAAAAGACAAAATTGACCAATGGGATCTAATTAAACTAAAGAGCTTCTGCACAGCAAAAGGAACTACCATCAGTGTGAACAGGCAACCTACAAAATGGGAGAAAATTTTCGCAACCTACTCATCTGACAAAGGGCTAATATCCAGAAACTACAATGAACTCAAACAAATTTACAAGAAAAAAACAAACAACCCCATCAAAAAGTGGGCGAAGGACATGAACAGACACTTCTCAAAAGAAGACATTTATGCAGCCAAAAAACACATGAAAAAATGCTCATCATCACTGGCCATCAGAGAAATGCAAATCAAAACCACAATGAGATACCATCTCACACCAGTTAGAATGGCAATCATTAAAAAGTCAGGAAACAACAAGTGCTGGAGAGGATGTGGAGAAATAGGAACACTTTTACACTGTTGGTGGGACTGCAAACTAGTTCAACCATTGTGGAAGTCAGTGTGGCGATTCCTCAGGGATCTAGAATTAGAAATACCATTTGTCCCAGCCATTCCATTACTGGGTATATACCCAAAGGACTATAAATCATGCTGCTATAAAGACACATGCACACATATGTTTATTGAGGCATTATTCACAATAGCAAAGACTTGGAACCAACCCAAATGTCCAATAATGATAGACTGGATTAAGAAAATGTGGCACATATACACCATGGAATACTATGCAGCCATAAAAAATGATGAGTTCATGTCCTTTGTAGGGACATGGATGAAATTGGAAATCATCATTCTCAGTAAACTATCACAAGAACAAAAAACCAAACACCGCATATTCTCACTCATAGGTGGGAATTGAACAATGAGAACACATGGACACAGGAAGGGGAACATCACACTCTGGGGACTGTTGTGGGGTGGGGGGAGGGGGGAGGGATAGCGCTGGGAGATATACCTAATGCTAGATGACAAGTTAGTGGGTGTAGCGCACCAGCATGGCACATGTATACATATGTAACTAACCTGCACAATGTGCACATGTACCCCAAAAATTAAAGTCTAACAATTAAAAAAAAATAAAATCTTTGAGATTAAAAAGGTAGGTTAGATATACATTTCTCAAAATTCCATCTTTAAAAATTAATATATTGTAGATATAAAAAAAATTTAGAACATCCTAATCTAATATTTCTTTAACTGCTCTGATGGAGGCTATTCAGGAATGAAGTTTAGCTTCAAATATTCCATAAAGAAGTAATGGTCCCAATATCTAATGATTTATCTCACAGTTATCTGAGGATTTCACACTGCTAAAAGTTTTATAGGAAAATTACCAGCTGGGAACTAATGTCATTCAAAGGACACATTCTGATCATCAGAGGGCCCTTGATTTTTGTAGCTATGCTGAACCAAGGCTGTATAAAATATGCTTTTCCTATGAGATGCCCTAAATGGCTTTGGAAATAAACAAAGAGTACAATAATAAACTTACTCAGGTTAACAATCAAAATACTCAACTCAAGAGAAACTTTTTTTCACATCATGTCAAGTTCAAGAGAAGAGTTATCTAATTATTGAGGAAACTAGAAATGCTATATTTCTCAGCTTTGTTCTTGTAAAGCTCTATTTTACTGGCACTTTTACAATGCATTTTTTTATTTTCCTTTTTTTCTTACAAACTTTATATTGCTTTAAAGTTAGAAGTTCAGATTTTGAAGAAGTTAGCCCTTTGACAATAAGAATTATTTCTAATGTCGCTCCAGTTTTTAAAGAAACATCACAGTAACTTCTAATCATACACCTTTTCATGCCAAGTGGCAGCTTTTATTCAACTGTGATTCACACTAAAAGCGGGAGTTGCTCTGTTGTTAATGAAGTTTACTAAAGTTACAATTTTAAGTTAAGAATACTATTATGTTTTAAATCAGGCATTAGAGTTAGCTTGAAATAATAAATATTTCATTGTTGTTACTTATTTTAGGAAAACAACTATGATAATTAAGGCACACATCAGATATCTTAGAGCATTAAGACAAGCCTTCATCCAAAGGCCAATGCTTGAGGGACAGACCATTATGTAACATTCTATCACTGAGATGCTGAGATCCACACCTAGATTGACCTTCCTTCTGCTTATGCATAAAGGCTAGCTAGTTAACGGTGCATAAATAAGAGGGAGTGGTAGAGAAACCGTGATGGTAGGAGGTGTAGTAACAACAATATGAACGCAAGTCATAAGCAGCATTATTGGCTTGGGGGAAGAAGATGCCAAAAAATGAATTCAAATCAATTTCACTAGATGTAATTTTTACTTAGCATGATATCAGAGCTGGAATAGTGCTTGGATGGTACTACTGCTGGCCAACTTCCGTTCAACTCCTTAGATTAACTTTTCTATTCTTGAATTTTCATTCCTTTGATTCAAGGACTTATGCTTTATTGAAATAAAAAGACCACAGGGAAGGGTAACGCATTAGGCAGTCTACAGTGATTTTTTCAATAGGATTTACTTGTTAAACGGTTACTTACCAACTGATGCTTGAGTAAGTAGCTCTATCTTATAATAGGAGATAAGCAGACATGAATTTGAATTCTTGCTTTGCTTTTTATTAAAGGTAGCATCCTAGGCAAACTTAAGTATTTGAGCTTAAGTTTCATGATATACACAAGAGATGAATTATTTTGTTATTATGATGAATGATACTATTAAATGTGGTTATATGAAAGAACTAGAAGGACTTGTTTAATACGATAGGTAGTAAAAATATATTAGTTAAATTTATTTAACAAATACCAGCAAAACAAGGTTTATATATTGGTGATGTTTGGAACATAGAGTATTATTCTGAAAGACCTTGGAAGACCTAATGAAATGAGGGTAATGGAATAAGCTGAGGCTTGTAGAGCATATGACACAAATATAAACATATTGTGCATATGAAATATTAGCACAGAGGATGAAATATACTGGAAAATATAATATATAGTTTATCCTGGGGAAGTGGAAATATATCTGAATAATTAAACTCAGGCACACAAATGATATTTCCTTGTTTAAAATTAAGTCCAGCTTAATCACAGAACTTACTGTAGCCCTCCCCTAATTCTTCAGTTTGCACAAAAATTTTGGAAGCTCAGGTTATGCTCCCCAAATAGTAAATTAACCTCCAATTTCCAGTCTGTTGCAATCATCGATGATGGCTCTTTTTGCCAGGGCACTTTGTGCCTGGAGTAGTGTCTACTCCACCTCTGTGCCACCCTTGCAGAATGATTTACTAGTTTCTCATTGAGGCCATAACAAAATACCACAATATGATCTCATACTTAGAGAAACCTAAAGACTCCACCAAAAACCTCTTAGTACTGACAAAAAAATTCAGTAGGGTCACAGGGCACAAAATCAATATACAAAAGTTAGTAGCATTTACATATGCTAACAGTAAACAATCTGAAAAGTAAATCAAGAGTGCAGTCTCAATTACAATATCTACAATTATAATACCTAAGAATCAATTTAAGCAAGGAAGAGAAAGAGGCATACTTCTAGGAAAACTGTAACACACTGATAAAAGATATTAAAAAGCATGAAAACATCAAAAGATATTCCATGCATGTTGTCTGGAAGAATTAACATTGTTAAAATGACAATACTAACCAAAGAAATTTACAGATCCAATACAATCTCAATCAAAATACAAAATACCAGTAACAGTCATTGCATAAATAGAAAAAATATTCTAAAATGTATATGGAACCATGAAAGTCCCCAAATAGCCAAAGTAATCTTGACCAAAAAGAACAAAGCTGGAGGAATCACAATACCTTATTTTGAGATATACTCCAAAGTTATAATAATCAGAAGAACATGATACTGGCATGAAAACAGACACACAGACCAAGGGAACACAATAGAGAGAGTAGAAATAAATCCAAGTGATATGGTTTGGCTGTATCCCCATTCTAAATCTCATCTTGTATTGTAATCCTCATAATCCCTATGTGTCAAGGGTGGGAACAGGTAGAGGTAATTGGATCATGGGGGTTGTTTCCCCCATGTTTTCCTTGTGATAATGAGTCTCATGAGATCTCATGGTTTTATAAGCATCTGGCATTTCCACTGCTTGCACTCTCTCCATCCTGTTGCCCTGTGAAGAAGGTGTCTGCTTCTCCTTTGCCTTCTGCCATAATGGTAAGTTTCCTGAGGATTTCCCAGCAATGCAGAACTGTGAGTCAATAAAACCTCTTTCCTGCCAGGTGCGGTGGCTCATGCCTGTAATCTTAGCACTTTGGGAGGCCGAGGCAGGTGGATCATCTGAGATCAAGAGTTTGAGACCAGCCTGGCCAACATGGTGAAACCCCATCTCTACTAAAAACACAAAAATTAACCAGGCGTGTTGGTGTGCACCTGTAATCCTAGCTACTTGGGAGGCTGAGGCAGGAGAATTGCTTGAACCTGGGAGGCAGAGGTTGCAGTGAGCCAAGTTCACGTCATTGCACTACAGCCTGGAGAACTCCATCTCAAAAACAAACAAGCAAACAAAATAAATCTTTCCTTCACAAATTACCCAATCTCAGGTATTTCTTCATAGCAGCATGAGAACGGACTAAGACAATTATTTTTTGATAAAGATTCCAAGAATACACAATGGGTAAAGGAAAGCCTCTTCAATGAATATTGTTGAGACAACTGGATAGCCACATGAAGAAGAATAAAATTAGCCTCTTATCACACATCACTTACAAAAATCAATGCAAGATGAATGAAAGACTTAAACATAAGATCTGAAACTTTAGAACTACTAGAAAAGAGCATAGGGACAAAGCTCCATGCCTTGACCTGAGCAATGATTTTTTGGACATTAACCGAAAAGTACATGCAACAAAAGCAACGTATACAAATGGGATTACATCAAACTAAAAAGGTTCTGCACAAGAAAGAAATCAACAAAGTAAAGACACAACCCATAGAATGGGAGAACATATTTGCAAACCACCCATTTCACAAGGGATTCATAACCAGAATATTTAAGGGATGCAAAACATTCAATAGCAAAGTCATCATCATCATCATCATCCAATTTAAAATGTGCAAAAAAATCTGAATAGACTTTTCTCAAAAAACATAAAAATGGCCAACATGTGTATGTAAAAAATACTCAACATGACTAATCATCAGAAAAATTCAAATCAATACAACAGTGAGATACCATCTTGCCCCAGTTAAAACTACTTTATAAAAAAGACAGTCAAAAATACATGCTGGCAAGGATGTGAAGAAAGGAATACCATCATTCATACACTGTTGGTGGAAATATAAATGAGTACAGCCACTATGAAGAACAGTATGAAAGTTCCTCAAAAAAACTAAATATAGATCTACCACATGATCCAGAAATTCCACTACTGGGTATATATTCAAAAGAGACCAATATATCAAAACTATATCTGCATTCCCATGTTTATTACAGCACTATTCACAATAGCCAAAATATGGAATTAACCTAAGTGCCTATCAATGAATTAATAGCTGGATAAATAAAATATAGCATATATAATAAAGAATGAAATTCTGTCATTTGCAGCACAATAGATGGAACTAGGAGACATTATGTCAAGTGAAGTAAGCCAGACACAGAAAGACAAATATTGTATGTTTTCACTCATGTGTGGGAGCTAAAAAAATTTATCTCATGGACATAGAGAGTAAAATGATAGTTATCAGAGGCTGAGGAGAGTACTAGGAATAATGAGAGAGTTGGTTAATGGATAAAAAATATAATTAGATAGAAGGAATAATATCTACTGTTCAGTAGCACAAAAGAGGAATTATAATTAACAATAATTTATTATATATTTCAAAATAACTAGAAGAGTGGAATTGGAATGTTCATAACACAAAGAAGTAATAAATTTTTTAGGTGATGGATATTTGGTTATTAAACTTTGTATGCTTGTATCAGAATTTTACATGTACCCCATTAACATGTACAGCTATTATGTATTCATAAAAATTAAAAAAATTGATTAGTGTTGAATTATATGACCAGAGAACAGGAATCTGCTGGGACCTCTGTAGATTTCTGCCTATCACACACGGATATCTTGATAAGGCTGGAAACCTATATGTCTGGGTTTTACCTCACCCATGCAGGTGCACAATAAAATCAATTCTGAGATTTTATCCTCCTCAGGGTTCTTCAAGGAGATGAGAATCCTGCTAATCTGCACAACTTTATTATCCTCATCTTGTAGGAAATCTATACACTCTCTCTTTCTCTTATGCTTCCTCAAACATAATATTCTCAGTGAGGTGAGACTACCACAAATGACTGTTAGAGACAGGTCTTTAGTTGCCTTGGGTTATATAAATTCTAAATTCCCACGCCACCCATTTACTTGAGACAAGAAAATAGAAAAATTCTGGCTACATTTCTGTAATAAGAAAGTAGAAGGAAAGCAAATACAAATTAATATCTCAAAAATTATCTCACAATATTGGAAAAGTAGTGTTTGGACATTATTAATTTTTTATTGAAATTGATCTGAAATTATTGCTTTATTGACAGAAGACTAAATCTTAAAGTAAAATATGGAATAACCAGAACAAAAAAAGTAGATGAAAGCAAAAAGTTTCTTAAAAGATTAAAAAAAGGGTTAGGTGCTTATAATAGCTGTGACAGTTGCCATAGCAAAGTATCACAAATTATATGGTTTAAACAGCAGAAATTTATCTCACAATTCAGGATGCTGGAAGTCTGAGATCAAGATGTTGGCAGCGCCATGCTCTCTCTGAAGGCACTAAGGAAAGGTCTGTTCCAGGCCATTCTCCTAGCTTCTGGTAGCTCCTTGGCTTCTCTATGCAAAACTCCAGTCTTCACATGGTATTCTTCCTGTGTGTCAGTCTCTGTGTCCAAACTGCACCTGTTTATGAGGACACCAGTCACATTGGATTAAGATTTACCCTGCAGAGCTCATTTTAATTTGATTACCTCTATAATGACCTATCTCAAAATATGGTCACATTCTTAGTACTGGGGTTTAGGACTCAAATTTTATCTTTTTGTGATGGACACAATTCAATCCATAAAATTGACTTTCTTTACGCTTAATACGGACATGTTATATTTGCAATATTTACTATTGTGTCACTCTGAATGTTTCCCAGAAAGAGCATTATGTTTGGAGTTTAAAAATTTGGGTTCGATTTTAAGTTCTGCTACTTATCTCCAATATTCAAGTTATCTCATGATTGACAGGAAGGTGGAACCAGGGGGGATAGTGAAGAAAGCTGAGCATAAAGCAGACCCTCTGCAAGCTCCTGGCTTGCCCTCTCTTCCAATGCTCTTCTGGTATAACAAGACAACTAAATAACATAGTCCTGCAGTTGGAGTCTGTAGGGGACCCCAAAGAGAGCTGGAGCCAAAATAAAGCCAAATAAAAACCATGTTTTCTAGAAAAAAGTGTAATAATAGGTTCGTGTGTGTGTGTGTGTATGTGTGTTGTGGTTTTAGAATAAGTGAAATCCTCATGGATTAGAATACTGTTTTTCTCTTCAAGTTTAACTGAAATTGGTTTTTAAAAATCTATGCAATGTATTTTTTTGAGTGGCAGTGAGCCTTCTAAGGAGAGCTAGTAAATCCACTAATAGTGGAAAAGGGGACCTCTCAGTGCTGCTTGCTACTTGCTAAATACAAGATGCTAATTGTCCCAGGTTTTCAATCCAAATATTTTCAATCCATTAGCTCCACAATCTGCCCTGGTACTCCCCTCCATCATCAATCATCATTCTCTACTTAGAGTGTTGAGAACATTTGCTTATTGCTCCCCTTTCCTCCAATCTTATCCCTCCTGAAAAATGATACACAGTGAGGCCAGAATTAGGTGGCAAAAATATAAGCATGGGCACTTCTTAATCTAATTACTATTTTCTTTAAGTAGCTATGGACCCATCCATTTTGCGAGTATATTCATACAGTTTCTCTTTCTAGAATGGCACAGCCCCAGCCGTGTGCAGTGGCTCATGCCTATAATCCCAGCACTTTGGGAGGTTGAGGTGGGCAGATCACAAGGTCAGGAGTTAGAGACCAGGCTGGCCAATATGGTGAAATCCTGTCTCTACTAAAAATACAAAAATTAGCTGGGCATGGTGGCGGGCTCCTGTAATCCTGGCTACTCTGAAGGCTGAGGCAGAAGAATCGTTGGAACCTGGGAGGCGGAGGTTGCAGTGAGCTGAGATCAAGCCACTGCACTCCAGCCTGGGCAAAAGAGTGAGACTCTGTCTCAAAAAATAAAAATAAAAATAAAAATAAATTTAAAAAGCCACAGCCCCTTTCTGTCTGTATACATCTATACAATAATAAAGATTGAACTCAAAAGCCAGCTTTTTTTCCCAAAGCTTTCTTTGAATTCTGCAGGCAAGTTTAGAAGTTTATTTTTCAAATGTTGCCATAAAACCAGTTAATTGTTACAATGTTTTGTCTAGGGCACACAGGAATCTGGATTCGAGAGGCCTAGAGCTGGTCTGGAGTCTATGAACCATTTGGGAGCTAACTTGAATCTAACCCATAATTGGAGTTTAGGCACATACAGACTTGCTTAATATACATAAAGAATACAAAGAACATAAGACAGTGACTCTGCTGTCTTTCCTTCATATTGCATAGTACACATTGCTATAAACAGAAGTTTTACTTTGTAGAGTAGCACAAATCCCTTTCAATCAACCTTATCTCCATCAACATGCCATGGTGCTTACAATTCCCTGTATTTAATTTTCTTCAGTAGAGCCTTGTCTCCAGAAATCCTGTTGAAAGATATACAAGTTTTCTGAGAAACTGTACATTTCCAATTATGTTTATATGTATCTCCTCTCCATCACTCTTCTTCCACTAATGATGCTAAAGCTTTATTCATACACCACTCATGGTTTATGAAGTATCTCTCCACCAACTTTATTAAATGTTGATGATACTATAAGAGTTATTTTCTTAGAACTCTTATGAACACTTCAATTCTATGCTTGTCATCAAATATTTTCCAATATTCTACTGGGCAGAACCCAAATCTCTTTTGAATTCATACCTGTATAACCTACATTGGAGCTATACCAAATAGTTAGTTAAAAAAAAATGACTTGCTCTTCAGTTATTAAAGGATGCTTCAGAATCATGTGAGAGGCATGTTAAACACAGATTGCTGGTCCCCACTCCTAGAGTTTCTCATTTAGTAGTTCTGGGCTGGGTCCAAGAATGTGCTTTCTAACAAGCTGCTATGTGATGCTGATGCCTCTGATTCTGGGAGCACAAATTTGAGAATCCTTTCTCTCAATATTTAGATCCCATTTATTTATTCTTGATAAGTTTTTAACATTGCTTTTCCTTCTATTTAGTTTTTCTTTTTTAAAATATGTTAAATGGCACTTTCCTGAAAATAGGAAGTGTTTTCCAGAAAAAAAATTTTCTTTCCTTTACAAATACACCTTTATAAAAAAGCATTTTGAGTCATATTTGTTTGTCCTTCAATAACAAATACATCTTAAAAAACATTTTGAGACATATTATTATAATAATCATTTGATAGTTTTCCCATTTGTTGTTTTTATATGTCTTTTACATCTTGCTAGATATCTTTTAGGCAATTAATCCCTAGAAGCCATCTTGTATCTGGCACACAGCAGACATACCATATCACTAAATGTACGAATAAATGTTTGGATGGGAGATAAAATTATAGATCGATAGATAGATAGATAATCTGACAGTAGCCCTTTAGCATCATTTAGGATGGATTAATTTATCACAACTTCTAGCATAGAATATAAATATCCAAGAAACAGAAAATCTTCCAATTTTGGAAGAAGATAAAATAATAATTCTGAACAAAAAGGGTTGGTTGGTCAAGGATAGCCTGAGTACAAGCCCTAAGACATAAAAGTCAGAAAGATACTAGTAGGACATGAGCCCACAGGGAAAGGCATTTGAAAGGGGGATAAAGGGTAAATAAAGATATACCTTCCACCGCCTGTCAATATGTAGCTGTTGCACTTTAGTCAGGCAGTATGAAAATACCGTCAAAAGCTTCAGAAAGCAGGATTTTTCCAGATCTCCTCTCTCTTTCTGAGTTGGGATACCCCTTTTATATTTAAACCATAAGTATCGAGCTCTCATCATCTTACTCATTGTTTCAGATTCAACTCGTCTTCAAATAGACTATAACTTGAATGACTCAGACCTGAAAATGGAAGAGATTTCCACTCAAAATATTTTCTAGTCTTACCATTTATAGTAGATTGGCAAATTAGCAGAATGTGATAATTGATCATGTAGGGGAAATTATTCTAGATGACAAAAACAGACATTTATTTATTTTAAAATTTAACTTGAAAATATTGGCTGCTTATGCTTCATATTCATAATAGTTATCAATAAATCATTGAGAAATGTAGTCCATATAAAAATTTATATGGATTTATTTCTTACATTCAAACGATGTGGTAACAAAACAATTACTTAACTTTCTTCAGTTACTCTTGTCTGTTACTCTAACATTTCTTCTCATTTGTCTCTAATATTTTCCTCAGGCTGCTGGTGGTGATTAAAAAAATATATATATATAGCGTTGAAGACAATGTATTCCACTCCTAGCCGCATCTGCTACTTTGACAACTGAATTTAGATTTTTTTTTTTTTTTTTCTGAAACGAAGTTTCGCTCTTGTTGTCCAGGCTGGAGTGCAATGGCGCGGTCTCAGCTCACTGCAACGTCCGCCTCCTGGCTTCAAGCAATTCTCCTACCTGAGCCTCCCCAGTAGCTGGGATTACAGGCATGCACCACCACACCCGGCTAATTTTGTATTTTTATTAGAGATGAGGTTTCTCCGTGTTGGTCAGGCTAGTCTCGAATTCCCAACCTCAGGTGATCCGCTCGCCTCAGCCTCCCAAAGTGCTGGGATTACAGGCATGAGCCACCACGCCCGGCCAAGACATTTTTTAAAATTTCCTTTTAAAAATTATGGATTTATTTCACATGCATTGTTCTACACTGGATCAACTCAAAAATAGTCACATAAAATTTCCTAGGAGATCAGTAACAAAATCTAGGTCATTTTCTGAGCATATATTTTAAAGATAGAGGAAGCTAAAAAAGACGAGAAACAGAAGAAACTGTCTCAAAGAATTAATTTACGTATATAATAAAAGGTTTTCTGTCTCTTATTTAATCAGAACTTTTTCTTGACTTCTCTCTCCCTCTCTCTAATGCATATATATAAAGAAATATATATATATTTATTCATATATAAAAATACATACCTATATGGATACAATAATATTTTTATAGTCTTTTGTAAAAAATTTTATATGGATAAGAGGTAAAAATAGTCTTTTATTTCACTTACTATGCAAAACATTAATAACTTGCTGGGCATTATTCTACTAAGACAGAAAATATGGTTGACCAATAACTATTATTGTGATATTGTGTGTGTGTGTGTGTGCATGCATCTGTTGTGGTGAAGCAATGATAATTCAAAAACTCTTTTAGAAGCTGCAAGACAAAGCGGATTTAGAAAAACAGTGAGATTGAAATGCATCTTCTTCTATTCACTATGCAAACTTATTGCACATTCATTTTTTTATCTGTAAATTGAGGTAATAATAACTAATTTGCATATTTTATTAAGTAGAAACTTTATTATCATCATTTTCAGTATTTAAAGAATTATTACACACTTTGCCTCATACCCCCAGTATTTCTGCTAAACCCTGCACTGAAAGGGTTAATTAAAATTCTTCTTAATCAAGTATCTACTAGTATTATGTACTTGAGAGAAAGAACTCCGAGAAAGAAAAAAGGAGGTATGAAATATCAGCTATTTTACAATACCATGGTCTATGTCTGAATTCAAAGATCTGCTTGGCTGACAATATCTAAGACAGAGAGAACTCACTACAAAATAGGTTAAAAGTAATCAGAGATAAGAGCTATCTCTACATGCATCTATTTTAGGACACATTCATGAAGACACCAATTTGAGAAGCTCTATTTTACTAGGCTAAAATATAAACAAAATAGGAATATAGCTGAAATTCACAAATATACAAACACATCATGTATTTTATCACTTTCACAGCAATTGTCCTTTTCCTGGCTTAGCTCTTTCTTTTCTCTTTAAATACACACTTTTTAAATTTGAACCTAAAAGTTATTTCAATAAAAATATGAAGAAAATAGTAAAAATTGAACCACACCATAATTTACCATAGGACATATATCCACAGACAGTTTTTATTTATCCTTTTTATTTTTTAAACACTTTTATTTTAGGTTCAGGGGTACACATGCAGGTTTGTTATATACATAAACTCTTGTTGCGGGGGTTTGTTGTACAGACTATTTCATTCATGACCCAGGTACTAAACCTAGTACCCAGTAGTGATTTATTCTGCTTCTCTCCCCCACTCTGTTACTCTCCACCCTCAGGTAGGCCCCATTGTCTGTTGTTCCCCTGTTTATGTCCATGTGTTCTCATCATTTAGCTCCCACTTAAAAATGAGGTCATGCGGTATTTCGTTTTCTGTTCCTGCGTTAGTTTGCCAAGAATAATGGCCTCCAGCTCCATCCATGTGCCTGAAGAGAACATGATCTCATTCATTTTTATGGTTGCATATTATTCCATGGTGTACATGTATCACATTTTCTTTATCCAGTCTACCTTTGATGGGCATTTAGGTTGATTCCATGTCTTGGCTTTTGGAATGGTGCTGCAATGAACATACATGTGCATGTCTTTATGATAGAATGATTTATATTCCTTTGGGTATATACACAGAAATGAGATTGTTGGGTCAAATAGCTTCATTTTTATAAATACTTGCTATAGTAGCAACAAAGACAGAATGAACATATAATGAACACCCCTGTATTCACCTGCAACATCTGAATGACAAGTTAGAACACTAACAGGAGCTACAAGCTTGTGTTCACTAACCAACTGAGATAGCATTGTAATTTGGCTCTGTTTTTTTTTCCTTTAGTTAGATATGACAGGACTCTTATACTAATAAATATCTTTTTATTGGAAGAAATTGAAACTAGGATAGTCCACATATATTAATTGGAACCTCCTGTAGTTTCATGTAACTAATTTTACACTTTCAAAGTAGACATGATGAATGGGATTTTTGAAAAGTCTGCACGCATATGGCAGGTTCCAGGGCCAGGGTAGAGGGTTAACATTCGGTAACAGCAAAGACAGCAATGATAATTTCACTTTTTAATTAAGCTATCTGGTAGGTATTTTGACTTATGGTTACTCTCCCCCACAAAAAAAAATTCTCAAATTTTCTCATGAGACTGCAAATTTGAGTCACATTTAGCAAAATTTAAAAGTATTTTAATCCAGACAAAAAATAACCTCCTTGCAACAGGAACAGCAGGAAGTCTCCCTCACTTACTTAATTTCCCCATGTTCTGCTTCTAATGATACAACTTAGAGGAATCCTAAAATGGGAAAAGTAAATTAGCCTGGAGGAGCAAGAAAATTAAACTGTGAATTATTTTTATTTTATTTTCCATATGTCAATTGTTTTCTCTAGACTTTTGCTATTTCTAAAATATCTGATATTTATTTCCTATCTCAGGGAAAATCAGTCTTCCAAGCTATCGCCTTGTCTGTTTTTCTTTTAAAAAAGATTTTGTGAGATACAATTTATATATCACAAAAATCAAAGGTTTAAAGTATCAGTTTCAATAAACTTTTAGTATATGTGCATAGTTCTGAAACCATTACCATTAAAAACCTAGAAATATATAGTCATAAGTATTGTTTTAAAAAATCTTGTTTTTTAAAAATGCTAAGATAATAAAGGAGAGCAAGTATTTATTAACAGACATTTTACAGTAAACTTCATATTTACCATTTCAATTTTTCTTCATTTTTCCCATATGGATTTGATTTATTATTTAGCCTTATTACCCTATTAGTAAACCACCTCATTCTCACCATCTCCCATTTTCAAATATTTACCTTTTTATAAGTTATAGGGTCAACAATATAATTTTATATATATTGTATTATACAGTTTCTTTATAAACTACGTAAGAGAAGAAAGGAAAAGAAATGTGTAATTTTACTGTGCTTCATATTATCTATATAATTACCTTTACCAATACTTTTCACTTTTTCATATGGATTTTAATTACTCTTTTGTGTCACGTCTTTATAGCCTGAAGAACTAGCTTAAGTATTGCCTGTAACACAGATCAGATAGCATTTCCCTCCATGTTTTCCTCTGGGAATGTTTTTATTTCACTTTAATATTTGAAAGATAGTTTTGCAGGCTGTAAGCTTCTCAGTTGGCAGCTTTTTGAATATTTTTTCTTTTGGAGTTTTTTTATTTAATTTTTTTATTTCAATAGTTTTTTGGGGAACAGATGGTGTTTGGTTACATGAATAAGTTCTTCAGTGGTGATTTCTGAGATTTTGATGCACCCATCACCCGAGCAGTGAACACTGTACCTAATGTGTAGTCTTTTATCCCTTGCCACCCTCCATCCTTACTCCCCAGTCCCCAAAGTCCAATGTATCATTCTTACACCTTTGCATCCTCATAGCTTAGCTCCCACATATGAATGAGAACATACTATGTTTAGTTTTCCATTCCTGAGTTACTTGACTTACAGTAATAGTCTCCAATTCCATCTAGGTTGCTGTGAAAGAAATCATTTTTTTTCCTTTTTATAGCTGAGTAGTATTCCATGGCATGTGTGTGTGTGTGTGTGTGTGTGTTTGTGTGTGTGTGTGTGTATTTATATCACATTTTCCTCATTATTCTCTCAAATACTCAAATATGTTTTCCAAACTCTTAGATTTTTCTTCTTCCTTGAGAACACCAATTATTCTTAGGTTTGGACATTTAACATAGTCTAAAATTCTTGGAGGCTTTGTTCATTTTTTAAAAAATAATTCTTTTTTATTTGTCTTTGACAAATTGGGTCAATTTCAAAGCCTTGTCTTTGAGCTCTGAAGTTCTTTTGTCTGATTTTTGATTCTATTGCTGAGACTTTCCAGTGTATTTTGCATTTCTAAGTGTATCCTTGATTTCCTGAAGTTGTGATTTTTTTTATTTATGCTATCTATTTCACAGAATAATTTTCCTTTGATATCCTGTACCATGTTTTTGATTTCTTTAAGTTGGACATTACTTTTCTCTGGTGCCTTCTTGATTAGCTTAATAATTGACCTTCTGAATTCTTTTTCTGCAATTCAGAGATTTCATCTTGGTTTGGATCTATTGCTGGTGATCTGGTATGTTCTTTTGGGAGTGTTAAAGAACCTTGTTTTGTCCTATTACCAGAATTGTTTTTCTGGTTCCTTCTCCTTGGGGTAGACTATGTCAGAGGAAGGATCTGGGACTCAAGCGCTGCTGTTCAGATTCTTTTATTCCATTGGGTACTCCCTTGATGTAGAGTTCTCCCACTTCCCCTAGGAATGGGGCTTCCTGAGAGCTGAACTGTAGTGATCGTTGTTGCTTTTCTGGGTCTAGCCACCTAGGGGAGCTGCCAGGCTCTCGGCTGCTACTAGGAAGTGTCTGCAAAGAGTCCTGTGATGTGGTCCATCTTCAGGTCTTGCAGCTGTGGATACCAGCACCTGCTCTGACGGATGTAGCAGGGGAGTGAAGTGGACTCTGTGAGGGTCCTTGATTGTGTATTTGTTTAGTGTGCCTCCAGTTTAGTATGTTGGCTGGCCTCCAGCCAGGAGGTGGCACTTTCAAAAGCACATCAGCTGTGCTTCTATAGGGAGGATACAAACTTGTCCAGGGACACTTGGTTAAGTATGCAAGTTTCTCAGGCAGTGTGCAGGGCCATAGAGCTCCCAAGAGATTATGACTTTGTCTTTGGCTGCCAGGGATAGTAGAGAAAGACCCCAGGCCAGGGCAGGGATAGGCATATCTGAGCTCAGCCTCTCCTCCATCTGGGCTTGTCGTGGCTGATGTGGGGGATGGGATGTGGTTCCCAGTCCAGTGGAGTTATGTTCCCAGGGGGATTATGGCTGCCTCTGCTGAGTCACAAAGGTCACCAGGGAAGTGGGGGAAAGCCAGCAGTCACAGGCCTGCTCCCATGCAGCCCACAGTCCTAAAGGCTCGTCTCACTCTCACCTTGCCCCTCAAACAGCGCCGTGTTTATTTCCAGACAGCTGGTGACCAGGGCTGAGAACTTTCCCCAGACCATAAGCCTCCCATTGAGAAAGCAAGCAGAATCACAGTTTTTTTTTTGTCATCTCTTGGAGCCTGTAGTGGCAATCCAGTTCCTTCAAAAGTCTGGATTATTTCGGCTTTCCTGGTATTTTCCTGTGGTAGTTCTTAAAGCAAAAGTTCCCAGTGTGGGTCTCCACGTGCTGCTCTGTCCATCTGAGCAGGAGCTGCAAGCTAGTCCTGTCTCCTATCCATCATCTTAACTCCAATCCTCTTTTAGTGTTTTTAATATTTCATTCTACTACCTTCTGCATTTCTGATAATAAACTATGTTTTGATTTTAATGAGGTTCCCTTGTACTACTATGTAGCAAGTCACTTTATTTCTTGATATGTTAAATATTTTGTCTTTATTTTTGGGTTTCAACATTTTTACTATAATGTGTCTGGGTAGGTAGTTATTTGAATTTATTCAATTTCAATTTTATAGAGCTCTTGGAATTACAAATTCATATTTTCAATAAATTTGTGATTTTTTAGCCTTTTTTTAAAATGTATTTTCTGTTCCTTCCTTTTTCTCCTCTCCTAATAACCACGTGGTACCATTTGTTGGTACACTTAATGATGTCCCAAATTTATGAGGTTCTGCTCATTTTTGTTTATTTTCTGTATTTCATTTTGCATAAATTATATCACCAGGCTTGTTGATATTTTTCTTCTGCCAGCTCCAATTTGTCATTGAGTGATTTTTAAAATTTCTTATTGTAGTTTTTAGCTTCAGAATTTTTAATTGATTTCTTTTCACATTTCAATTTTATATTGGTACTCTAATTTTGCTCACACATTGTTTTCCTCATTTCCTTCAGTTCTTCATTCATGGTCATCTTTAAGTGTTCAAGTATATTTAAGATTTAGGAGAGTTTATTTAAAATACTTGTCTATTCAGTCCAATGCCTGGATAGCCTCAAGGAGTTTCTATCAATTTAATTTATTATATGAATGGGCTATTTTCTGTTCCTTTTAATATCTTGTAATTATTTTCTGAAAAATTAGTGTTTTGGATATTATAATGTGATAACTCAAGAAATCACATTCTTCTTCTTCCCAAGGGAATTCTGTTGTTGATAGAAAGACTTGAGACATCCATTTATTTCATGACTTTTTCAAATCATTTTTCAAAAGCTGCATTCCTTGTGTGTGGTCACTGGAGCCTCTGTTCTGCTATCTCTGTGGTCACATTGTTATTGGACAGACATTTACTTAAATGCCTGGGCCAAAATAAAAGATAAACAATAAATACTATTTTCTTAGTCTTTGCAGCTTGCCTCTGAGCTGAGGTACTCCCTTACTAAAGCCAAGCCTCATACAACTCTGCCTTAGCCTTCACCACCTGTTTGTGTGGAGCCCACAGATCCATCAAAGATGAAGGGTTAAGATCCTCTCAGGCATTTTCAAACTATGCATCTGGCCTTGGGCATACACATTGTATTCTGTTTGCCCCATCATATGTGTTGCTCCTTCTTGGCTCTTGTTACTTCAAGAAACTTTCTCCTCAGGCTTCTCTTTCTTAGGCTTTTAAATCTGTCTGCTGCTGGCTTTATCCAATATCCCCTTCCTCAAGTAGGCACAGTGTACATCACTGAATTTTTCAACAGACACACTGCTAATACCTGATACCCACTGAAGTACAAAAGAGAGGCAGGAAACCAAAGGCCAGCTTCTTTATCATTCAGGAAACGACAAGACTGGTCAAAACACATGGCCATAATATTTTAAGCATAAAGTTTATATTAGCTCCCTGGTTCCAGCAAACTATACTGGGAATGCAGGCCACCATCCACATGAACACGCACCCACCGGGAAATTGAGGGATAATAAGCTGGTGAGTGAAAATCCCACAACATTCTCTTACAGAAATTCAGCTGTCTTTTTCTTCATTAGTCACCTGTCTGCTATACATTTTGGATTAGATTTTATGGATTCAAAATAGTTGATTACTTTAGTCTTTCCTGCTTAAACTTAAAAGTTCAAAGTCCAATGATCTTATTTAAATACATATAAATCAGATATGGGTGAGACTCAGAGTACCATCCATCCTGAAGCAAATTGCTCTCTAGCTATGATTCTGTGAGACCAAAGGATTATATGCTTCCAAAATATAATGATGAGACAGATACAGAATAGACATTCCCAATCTGATAGAGAGAAATAGGAAAATAAGAAAGCTGTGACCAGTCCAACAGGGTAAATCAATGCCACTGGACCTTAAGTCTTGAGAATTATTATATTTGGCTCAATACCCTGATATTCAGCTGCATTGGAAAGGAGATCCTACCTTTTGGGCCCACTAGAGTGTGGGTACTATCTGCAGACACACTGGGGCCTCAGTATTGTCACTGCAGTCTTTCCAGGCAGGCTTTAGGTCAGTAATGCTTTTGGCAGCCCAAGTCCCAAAGCTTGGTCCAGTGGCCTCTCTACCTGGACCTCACTTCCACAGAGCTATGTGCTTGGTCCCTGAAGCTCTCCTGGGCTCCCCTGGACTCTCTCAACCCCACAGCTCTGCAGGAGGTCCTATCTCTTGAAATCTAGATTTCCAGCTTGCCTGGAAAGACTGCAGGGACAATACTGAGGCCTCTAGTGGTTCCGTAGATAGTACCCACACTCTAGTGGGTCCAGAAGGTAGGATTTCTTTTCCAATGCGGCTGAATGTCAGGGTATTGAGCCAAATATGATAATTCTCAAGACTTAAGGTCTAGTGGGATTGATTTACCCTGTTGGACTTGTCACAGCTTTCTTATTTTCCACAAAAATTTGTTCAGAATTTACTTGGTACTCTCTGAGATAGAAAATTTCTCTCTAGTTCACCATTTTTCTTTCACAGCCTTCACCAAAATCACCGTTGGCAGTTCATTTACTAGAATGTAGATGCATGCAGAAATGGCATGAGGTGCCAGTGGAGTGAAGGGCACACAGAAATGATATATGTATCTCAAAACTCTTTCAGTGTCTACCCATTATCCAATTCCAAAGCCTTTACACATTAGTCAGCTCAGGGTTCTATAAAACTGTGTGGTTCTGTTTTTTATAACAGAAATTTACCAGGTGTGGTGGCTTGTGCCCATAGTCCCAGCTACTCAGGAAGCTGAGGTACGAAGATTGAGCCTAGGATTTTTGTGACCAGCCTGAGCACCATAGCAAAACCCTCATCTCAATACAAAACCAAAACAACCAGAAATGAATTTTTCACAGTTCTTGAGGCTTAGAAGTTTATAATAAAGGCAACTGTAAGTTTGATGTCTATTGTGACCCAATTCCTGGTTCATAGAGGGCCAACTTCCTGCTGTAACCCCGCGTGGTAGAGGGGGCCAAGATTTGTCTCTATCGTCTATTTTATAATAGCACCAATCCCATTTATGAAGGCTACTGCCTTCATGACCTAATCCCTCCCAAAGACCTCAACTCCTAATACCATAGGATTTGGGGCTAGGATTTCAACACATAAATCTGGGGGAGACACATTCAGTCTGTTGCATACAGTAATAGATTTTTTAGGATTGGACTAGTCTTACATTTCAGAAATAAATCCAATTTAATCATGGTGTACTATTTTTGCTTTATACATTTTTGGATACATTTTGCTAATATTTACCTGATAGGTTTCCCTAACCATAACCCTAATCCTAATCCCTGTAGGTTTCCCTAAATCTGTGAATATGATGAGTTTTGCCTAAAATTCTCTTTTTTCATGATAGTAACTTTCTATTTTTGCTCCACTATTACTCTAATAATGATTATAATTGTATTAAAACAATGTTTCTAAAGTTTCATTGAACAAACCAAGAAACAAAAATCTATCCCTCACAATTTTTTTCAGTTTTGTTTATCTTGAGGAGATGTGTTGGTGGTAGTTCATTTTGAAGTATAGAATTAATATATGCTAAAGAGTTTTTGATGCACTACTGTTTAACTATCTTTTAAGATTTTTTATCTTCTAGTTAATGTAGGTAAGTTCTAATCTATCCAATTCTATTTTCTCTTTGAAATGGAAGATGAGGTTATATGCTGGTAAAGAATGTGAGAGAGGGCTGATGGGATCACAATTTTAAGAAAATTTTAGACCTGGAGAATGTGTTAAGTAGACACTATAAAAAATTGTCAAAATCATTTTTAAAAGTAGGGTATTTCAAACCAGAGTTTAAGGTTCAGTAGAAGATGGAAATCTCAAATTTATTTTTTCACCTCAATGTATGTTTGTGAGAATTTCCCAGAAGTTTTCAGCTGCTCCAAATAGACTGACAAGATAGAACAAGGACTAACATGAAATTGTTTGTATTTCGTGTAGTGCATATGAAGGAATAAGCTGAGATAAAAAATGCATTTAGTAAGGTGCATAAGTGCATGAATCTCAATTATAATATTTAATTTTTAAAATAAATATACACCCAAGCACCACTATCCAGGTCAATATTCAGAACATCTTAATGACCTAGAAATTCCTGCCATGCCCCCTTCCAGTTCACCTCCAATCCAGCAGTAATGACTGTTCTGATTTCTATCATCATTGATTAGGTCTATAATTTCTTGAACTTTATATAATGAAATCATATATTATATATTCTTTAGTGTTTGGCTGATTTTCCTCCACAAAATATCTATCAGATTTTGTACTAGTAGTTTGTTTTCTATGCTGTGGAGTGATCCATTATATGAATATATATATATATTTATCATTTACTAATTGATGAATGGAGTTGTGCTTGTGGAATTCTGTGGAAAGCACGTGCTAAGACAGAATTTGGTGTGCAAAAGCTGAACTAGAGAATAACACCTGTAAGAAATAGGAGGAAAAGTCACTGGATTGCAAGGTAGACTAATTAATATCTTAGCCAGCCTTCTGGGAAGACTCAAAGCAAAAATTGCCCAGTAGAATGGGCTCTTAGTAATTCATTAATTGGGGGTTGCTCCCAAAAGATGGTGACCTCAGCTACTATTCCCTTGCTCATACATTGGCTGAAAGCTGCTCAAAGAAGACCTCAGATACCACCACATTGCTCACTCAATTGCCACAGGCCATCCTGATAAGACCATGAAATAAGCCCAAAATGTAGGATAGATTCTAAAAATTAGGCAGCAAGTTTTTTTGTTGTTGAAGTTGAACCCAAACAGTGCATCTCTATTTCAGCCAAAAGGTTTTTTTCTAGTATTTGACAATTATGAACAAAGCTGAAATGAACCTTCTTGTAAATGGTTTTGACTCTAATAAGTGATTTCTCAGAAAAATATGTGAGTTTTAGGTTAGCTGTATTTCCTCTTTAGGAGATACCATCAATTTGCAAAATGTTAAGACCAATTTACCTAAACACAAGCAAAATAGAAGTACCTGTTGTTTTCTATTCTCATCACCTCTTAGTTTGTTCAGTCTTGTTCCTTTATACCACCACAATGTCTTTATCCATTTACTGATGGCATTTGAGTGAGTTTATTTTTGCATCTTCCATAATTATGCATGCATATATCTGCTGGTTTGCATGGTATGTATAAGTTTAAATTTTTAAGAAACTATAAAACTATTTTTCACTTTGCTTATTTATTTCACATTTTAAGTAGAAAGGTAAAAAAAAATCCAGTTGCTCCACATTTTTGCTAAAACTCTATAGGATCATTATAATTTTACTCAGTCCACTGGGTGAGTTGTAGCATCTCACTGTAATTTACATTTGAATTTTCCTAATGAATAGTGAAGTTGAGCATTTTCTCTTGTATTTATTGGCCATTTATATATATTCTTTGATGAAATATCCATCAAAACCCTTAATCATCTTGTTAATCAGAATGTTAGTTAGATTTCTTATTACTGAGTTGTGAAAGTTTTATACATTCGAAATGAAATCCTTTTGCCAGGTTTTTTTTTTTTTGAAGTATTTACTCCAATCTATAGCTTGCCTTTTTTATTGTCATAGCAATTTTATTTGTTAATGTATGTATAATTTTTTAAGCTTTGATAAAGTTACTGATTCAGTACATAATTCATACTGTCTATTTTATATAGCTTTGTAAAATACAAAGTACTCAGATTTTTTTCAATGCTTCATTTTAAATGGCTTTAGTTGTAGTTCTTACATTTGAATCTATGATTTATTTTCAGTAGATTTTTGTACATTGTATGAGGTTAGAGACAAAGTGGTTTGTTTTATGGCATTACTATATGATTTTTCCACCACTGCTTGTTAAGAAGATTGTTTCTTCTTGATTGAATTGCATTGGCAACTTTGTAAATAATTAATTGACCACATATATGTGGTTAAATTTCAGGGCTCATCTTTCATTGCTCTATCTTTCTTTGCACCAATATTCCAGTGTCTTGATTATTTACAATAAGTCTTAAAATCAGGTAGTATAGTTCCCCAGTATATTTTTTACAAAGTCATTTTGGTTATTCCCAGTCTTTAAATTTCCATATAAATTTTAGAATTCTCTTGTCACTTCCAAGAAAATAAATCCTGCTTGGTTTTCTGCAAATAAAATATATGACAGTAAATAGAACCTCAGAGCAAAAGCCAATTCTGTACTCAGTTCCGTAGGAAACAAATGCACATTCCCCAGCATCCACACTTCATTCTTATGACATGTATAATAAACTTCACATCATCCTATAGTTATATTTGGATGGAAAGTGGTATTTGGTAGCTGGAAACCCTGCTCAAATAATTCATTAATTTATGACCCAAATATTTATATATAGCCCATGTCAAAAAGCCTAATTAAAATAATATAACAGAATGTGAAAAGAAAATAAGGAAATAATAATAAATAAAATATAATTTACTCAAAATGTCTGAGGCAATAAAGTGGAGACTAAAAGACCTAATGATCATCATTTGCATTAAATGATGTAAAGTGAGATTACGAGAAACATTACTGATTTCCAGACTCAATTTCCTTAATAAAAATGGTGCGAGATTTTTGTCTATAGAAGTGTTTTCTTTCTATTTTGCTTCTGTTATCTGCCATCAGTTACATATCTCTAAACACATATTGAATGTCCTGCCTCTAGTCCACCCCCTTTATATTTCTGAGCAGCCAAGCACCTATATTTCGTAAACCTAAACTTTATTCTTACCACTTGATTAGTTTCTCCAGTGAAGCCAACACGCATGCAGGAACCCCGCAGATCCTGTTGTTATTGTTATGTTATCTGTAGACAGCCTCTCCACAGGGGCTGCCGTATCTCTGCCAGTCCCATGCCTCCGCCACTTACTCCTACTGATTTTCCTGCCAAGTTCAGTGCTCTGAAAAAAAGAATAACCAGCTATGAGCAACACGTTCTTTTTCTGCAGACTGACAGGGCTGTGCTTTAATCTCCTCTTGTGTCTCATAACAGAAGCTTTTATAACAGTTTTTGCTAACTGTCAGACTACTGTAAGCCACTGCTTATGATACAGTGAGGGGGAGAAGAATTTAGAATTATATACATTTAGTTGACAAGAAGGATGTTGGAAATGAAACATACATATGGTAAGACAGTAGGTTATGCTTTAGAATTGGTATTCTGAATGGAATGTTTTTCCTTAAAAAATGCACACATATAGAAGTTTTCCCTGTATTTAAAGAACACAAATATGGCTTACTTCATAAAGTGGAAAGATGGGTTCTAAATGAAATTAATCCTGGATATTTTAAAGAAAATCTATATAACATAATTTAAATAAACCATCCTTCTACTCTAGGCCTGACTCCAGCATTTCACTAGCCATCTTACTCTTCTCATTTATTATAATGTGAGCTGAGAAAACGATCTTCTTAAGTAGGTTGAATTTGATTATGGGAAGGTTACTGAAATAGGTTTAGTACGATATAAAATGTAGAATACAATAATTATTTGTTTATGTATTTTTCAACTTCACTAGAGTTTCCTGGAAGGAGAATCTGTGACTGGCCTGTGAATCTATCCAGTCTAAATATAGTATCTAGCATCTGCTAGGCACTCATTAGTTTATAGGTACTAATACAGTAGTCTGGCTCTACACTACACTACACTATACCACACTATACTACACCACGCTACACTAATTTTGAGAACTTACCACTGAACCTCCCAGACATCAATTTCTTCAGTAAAATAGTTGGAGCTAGATTAAATGTTACACATTATATATATCTACACTGCTTAGCCTCTATGAGTTCATAATAATTGTACTTTAAAAAAATTGAGTTCACATAAAATCTGAATTTTAGGAATGTCTCAATTATCTTTTTTTACATAATAAACAACCCTAAAGTTTAGTCATTTTGATAGTGTAGGATATGAGGCCAGGGTAGCTTCTAAAGTCTAGATGTAAGATTGGGAGCCCTGCTGGTGCCATTGACTGGGTGTTTGATTTTCTTCTGTGTAGGCATCTCCGCTTAGCTGTTTTGGCTGTTTCAAATAATTGTGGAGGGGTTCCAAAAGGAAACCCTGTAAGAGAACAGACCCTAAGTGCCAGCACTTATCATTTACTGATGCTTCACTTGCATCACCCTTAAAGATATCCCACTGGCCAAAGCTAGTCACATGGTCAATTCCAGAAATTCTGTGGAAAGAGATTTCACAATGGCATGAATAACAGAAAGTGCGGTTAATTAGAGGGCACCAAAGTCAGTCTGCTGTAAATATTTTTGGGTAATCTGAAATCTCTGCTTAAACCACATAGCAGCTGATTTCCTTATGAGCCATGAATTTTCCCAATTCCATTGTCTTCTCCCAGCCCAGTACAGTTGTCCCTTGAAGTATACAGGTTTGAACTGCATGGGTTCACTGATACATGGATTCTAATCAACCAAAATTAGACAGAAAATACAGTATTTGTGGATGCTAAATGCTATATACGAAGGGCGAACTTTCACATATACATTTTCAATAGGGCCAACTGAAGGACTTGAGCATACTATTTTTGTATACATGGACGTCCTGGAACCAATCCCCCATGTGTGCTAAGGGAGGACTGTAATTAATTGCCTTGTATACATTGAAGTTGCCTGTCCTTATATTAAATGATTGCTATGCCTCTTGTTATTTGTTTCTGGGACTATATTAGAAGACTTTTGATAAGGTCTAAAAAGTATGCTGTGAAAATAACTTTTAAAAAAATTTGACATATAATGTATTCAAATGCTTTAAAATCTCTTAATGCTTATCTTTATCAAAACATTTGTATTAACAGTATTAGGTACTTATAGCTTTAAAAGAGTTCGCTTGATTTAAATCTTTGCTAGAGAATTACTTGTACATGTCCTAAAAACAGTGTAGTAATTTAGGTATGCATAATTTCCTGTGATTTATTTCCTTAAATTCAACATGTCCATCTACATATTCCAATAGGACTAAATCAAAATATAAAGTTCAATTGAAAATTTATTTTTTCAATGTGTATATTTTGCAAGCATTTTTTATATGAATGTACTTACTCAATTTTTGGCATATAGTCAACATGAGTAACCTCACATTGTAAAAAGAGTGTAAATATATATATATAATTAAAATAATTATGTAAGTTTAAGTGATCACTACTTTGCCATTTGTATTGTTTGGCTTTGCCCTTGTGCCTACTCCTCTTTTAACTTGTGGACGATGTATAGTCATCACATATGTCAAAATAATTTTCACGTGAAAAAGGAGCATGAGTTCTGTCTTTTTTGTGTCTCTTCTTTTGGGGCAAAAAATACTTTTTCAGAGGATAATCGGTGCACTTCACCTTAATTTTGATTGCCAATAAATGGTCCGCATTGCTATTCTTAAACTAGGTATTAGCAAAGATAAAGAGAAAAATATTACATTAATAACTTAGATTAATCATTTGAGATGGAATAGGTCTTGAAGAATCAACCACCATGAATATTATAACAGAATAGCTATTTTTTTGCTAGTTACCCATATACAATTTTAATTATATGATCTGATGCATTTTAAGATGGGAGCTAGCTTTGTGTAACAGAAAGAATGGGGAACGAAGAGTCAGAAATACTGAGTTCTAACCACTCCTCTGCTTCATCATGTTCACGCTTTTATTTAAATCCTTTATAAAGAAATATATTTTTAATTCATGAGTGCTTTTAAAATATTAGATAGCAATGTACTATATATTGCTTAATATCCCAAACAGGAATGAAGTAGCTCCCATAATCAGATACATTAGTATTTCAGCAGGAAAAGCTATGAATTGTTATGCTAAGAGGAATTAAAATAAAGACAGTAATTTACATCATGTTAGTTGATGGTAGAAATTATCACCTGATATGTTATTTTAAAATCTCATTTCAGATTATTTTTTGTTTCAGATTTTTGAATTATGGATAATATATTTTGGATCTATAACTAGATATAATGTTTGGTATCACTCAGGTTCCTTCCAGATAAATTTATGTGTATGAATTACATAATTTCTAAGTTTCTTTACAAAACTGATACCCTATGAATCCTTGATCTAATAAAAAGCAAATGCAACTATCTGTTTTATGTCATTTGCTTTATAATAGATATGAAACCCACAAGCAACATTTCCATAGATAGGCTACACAAATATCTCACACAGAAGACAATTCTCAGGGCTTGGCTTACCTCTTCTTCTTAATGTCACCCTTTTGGTCTAGGTATGGCTCAAGATAAGAGTGAGGAGACTTCTGATTTGGATAACAGTTTTACCTTTGATAAAAGATTAAAACAGCATCACTAAAATTAAGAAAAGTTCAAGTAGGTGAAATTTGTATTTTCCTCTACCTTAGTTTCCTTTCTCTCCTGTCCATCTCCAAGTGGCCTACCTTTTGTGTTTCTCAAAACCTTGATACATTATGCCCTCCACCAGAGAGCCCCATATTCCAAAGGCAGCACCTGTGCCTTCCTCTGCTCTCTTTGAAATGCACTCTTTTCAGTAACTATCTGTAATTTCAGATAGGTGAACTTACAGGCATCTGGAGTGAGGTGGTCCTGGGGGAAGTTAACTTAGAAGATCAGGAAATGTATTGAGGCTGTTTTGAAAATTCCTGAGTTTAATATCCATTAGCATGCAAGATGGCACTGGATTGGTAAGAAGAATGGGGGTTGGTAATCCCACCCTTTCTCCTTATGAGCTTTTGATATAATACTCAAAGTCCATGTTTACGCATTGCATTTTTTTTCTCAATGAAAGAGCATGGAGAGAAAGCAAAACAAAACAAACAAACAAACAAAAAACAGAATATGCAAGTGGACATAAGATGATTGTCACCACCAAAGCAAATGTGCTTCTTAATTTCCCAAAGCTTTGAAAACATCAAAGGGTAGACACAGGTCAGAGGAAACTTCCATTTGCATTTCTCTGAGACTTAGGGGGCCAACTGCCCTCAGAAAAAGAAATGCTATGAAATGGAACTTATTTGTGTATTTTTTTGGACTCACTAAATTCCAATGTCTGGTCCTCACTCAGCCCTGCAAGTCCAGAAATCTGATATTTCAGAACAAAGAAAATGTACCTATCTATCATCCTTATCCTAACCATCAAATACTACACACATAGGGATGAGCACTTAAGAACAAGTATGACAATTTGTCAATTTAATTTTATTTCAGCAGAAAGTCAAATTATAACCAGAGTACCAGTTTCATAACTTATAATAGCAAAGCGAAGCAATTATTTGCAGAGAAGCACATGTATCCCCTTGTTCAGAGCATTTTCTTTCCTTAAAGACAAATTGTGTGAGAGGCTAAACTCTCAAAAAAAAATTTTTGTGAGAAGGGAATCAGAATATGTCATAAGATGGCATTCAGCTTTGTGTCCCAGCTGTGGTGGTTTAAAACACATTAAAAACCAAGGAAATCATATATTCAGTCAAGACTTGTATCCTGGTCAGGGCTAAAAGTTACCATCAACACTGACTTCTACAAATCACTTTTTCTATGATTCCAGGACAGAACAATCATCCTTTCATCTTTATATAAGTCCATTGATGAACTTACTTTGAATTATTTTGGTACTGAGAAGCAGTCTGTTTCTTGGGAGACACTGCTTTTCTCTGTTCTAATTCATGTGTTAATTTTAATGTTATGCAATGAGGATAATATTTATTAACTAAGAGTGCCCAGAGTCTCACTCCTCATTACCCATGAGAATATTATACAGAGATACTAATCTTTACTTTTGTTTTCAAGGTTGGATAAGGTGAAATTCTATCAATTTTTATTTTTACACACAATTAAGAACTGTTGATTAACACAGTAACTCAGTTGTCTCCTTATGCCTCTTTGTTCTTTCAAAAAAGACTCAAACTTCTTAAATCCTCTGAGAAGTCAATAACCCTCCCTAAGATCTCTGTGAATTCCCAGGAGTTAAAATAATGAGGTAACTTCAGGCTCATACATACTTATTCCACTTATTTTTTCTTCTTTATTCAATATCTTTCAACAGTCATTTTAACTCTAACGCTAATATTATCCTGAACATGGATCCCAACCTCATATCTGATTGTCTTCTAAAAATAAACAAAATCAAGTCAGACAAAAAAGGAAGGATGGAAGGAAGAAACAAAGGAAAAAAGAAAGGAAGAAAAGCCAACCTTTTTGTGACTATATTAAATATATTGTGGAGAGAATCGTTATTTCAACATTAACCTTTGTAAACGTCTTATCAAACAATCTTGTTCTGTGTGTGTGTGTGTGTGTGTGTGTGTGTGTGTGCCATTGTTATTAAAATAATACATGTTTCTAGTTTTGTAAGATGAATGACATTGGCTTATAAAGAGAAACAGCAGTCCCTTATACAAACTCTCCTTATTCCTGATTGTTGTTCTCCAAATCTATTTTCACCTCCTAGTCATTTTCTCTGGTATTTAGGTCCACATTTTTAAGTAATTTGCATCTCTCCGTTAATTTTTCAGTTTTAAAGCTAACCTTTGTATATGGAAGTTACTATAGAAGATAAGGATTTAATGTCTTTAAACCTACTCCACTCATTCCTGTTTTCATATGAACAGAAAATGCACAGGCCTCCTCCCATCCTCCTAGTCTATTCATATGTTGTTTTTCTTAAATTGATATCTAGTGTTTATTAATTTATGAACATATAGTTCAATATACGTTTATATTATGACCAAATTGTTCACTATACATATTACTATATATAGTAATACTTCTATAATATGTAATATAAATATGTTTATTTACTTTTTATTATTCACACTTGAGCTACCTAGTTTACTAAGATTATGTTACTGTAAAACTTTTAGATTTACATAAAAAATTAATAATGACATCACTTTTCACTTTTGTTAGAAAAGTGGTTCTTAGGAACCACTTCTTTGTTCCTATTGCTAACTCATTCCCAATTTTTCTAACAAAACTGAAAATATATATTATTACTTGATTCTGTATGCACCAGTTGCCTTACAGGACAACTCCACAACTGTTATTATGAAACCTGTTCTATTTTGGATATTTGTCCCCTCCAAATCTCGTGTTTAAATGTGATTCCCAATGTTGGAGCTAGAACCTAGTGGGAGGTGTTTAGGTCATAGGGGTATATCCCTCATGAATGACTTGCTGTTCTCACCAAGGTAATGAGTGAGTTCTGGCTCTCTCAAGCCACAGTAGAGCTGGTTGTTTAAAAGCCTGTGGCACCCCTCCCCCAACTCACTCTTCCTTCTTTCCTTCCTCCCTCTCACTATATAATGCCTACTCCCATTCACTTTCTGCCATGAGTGGAAACCCCCTGAAGCTCTCACCAGAAGCAGAAGCTGGCACCATGCTGCTTGTACAGCCTGCAGAACTGTGAGCAAAATGTTCCACTTTTCTTTCTAAATTACCAAACCTCAGATATTCCTTTATAGCAACAAAAACAGACTAACACAGAATCCTTCTCTTCTTCCTGGGAATTATTTATGTGTTCTTCCTGGGTTGAATTATTCATTCCCTGCATTCCATTTTCTTTCTCTTTTGGTGTATTCCCTGATTTTGATGAAGCATAAATTTCAATGTTTTTCCAAGAAAGAATGAATGGGAAATACACTGAGAAAACATTTTGCATGTCTGAAAATGTCTTTACTTTCACATTTTGATAATAATTTTTCTTCATGTAGATCCTGATCAAAGAACATTTGTCTCAGAATTTAAATATATTTCCATGACATCTTCTACCTTCCAGTTTTGCTACGTAACCGCCTAGTGCCATCTTGATCCTCAATATTCTGTATGAGACTCAATTGTTTCTTTCTGGAGTATTTTGTTTCCTTTTTCTCACCAATGTTCTGAAATTTCAGAATTATACATTTTGTTGTGGGTTTCTTTGAATTCATTGCATTGGGCTCTCAGTTAAATGTCATAATTTAGACACTATATCCTTCAGTTTCGGGACAGTTTTATTATTTCTTTGATAATTTTCTCTCCTCCATTTTCCTTGTTTTCTTTTTTTACCGGACATTTCATTATATGAATGTTTGCTTTCTTAGATTAACCCTATTAAAATATTTTTTCACTGTGTTTTTTCTCTTCTGTCTCATAGATTAGAAGTTTTTTTGTTGGTTATTTTTTGCTTTATTGTCTTGAAGTTTTTTGCTTTATTTTGTTTTTGGTAATTTTTCTTCTGCCCTTTGCATTGACTTCATTTCTTCCTAGATCCTCTTTCTTGCTTGCAAGTTTATCCTGTGATGCCCACTAAAGAACAACACACTAAAATGCTCATTATCAGACCTCTTCATATGTGAGTAGATTTCATCTTAATGTGATTTTGATGCAAACCAATTAATTTTCTGCCACTCTTTGTTTTCCCTGGTTGTATAATCCTGAATGCCAGCATTGTGGGAGACAAGAAGGTGAAGGGTGAAGGAAGTCTCACCATTAACTATTCAGATTTTCACTTAACCTTCCTCTTTCCAGTATAGCATCTCACTCCTTGGTCTCAGCTTGCCTGATATGTCAAGCACAGAAGCAAAGCTCCAGTTTTACACTGAGGAAGGACCAAACTGCCCTGCAAAAGATAGGGTGATTTGTGGTTCAAATCAGGATTGTTTCTTGTTTGTTTTACCGTACAGACTAGCCCTTGTCTTTCTCCAATTTGTCAGTTACCATTTGTCCATCCCATTCTATAGACTCCAAAAATTGTCATCTCAGCTTTATCTTCACTCTCATTCTCTTTGTTGCGCAGTGTACACCCACACACATACATATGTATACACACACACATATACACACACACACATATATATATAATACACACACATACATATTGTGTTAGTTTGTTCTTCCATTGCTATAAATAAATACCTGAGACTGGGTAATCTGTAAAGAAAAGAGGTTTTATTTTGGCTCACATTTCTGCAGGCTATACATGAAGCATAGTGTTGAAATCAGCTTGTAGTGAGGGTCTCAGGAAGCTTACTATCATGGTGGAAGTTGAAGTGGGGACCAGCACATCACATGACAAGTGAGGGAACAAGAAAGAGAAGGGGGAGGTTTCAGACTCCTTTAAACAATCAAATCTCCCATAAATTAATCGAGCAAAAACTCACTCATCACTAAGGGGATGGTGCTAAGCCATTCATGAGGGATCTGACCCAATGATCCAATACCTCCCACTAGGCCCCACCTCCAACACTAGGGATCATGTTTCAACATGAGATTTGGACTGGACATGCATCCAAACCATATTATTGCACCCTTAGTTCTCCAGATGCTTTTCTCACATTGCAAAACACAATTATCTCTCCCAATAGTTCCACACAAAGTCTTAAATGTTTTCAGCATGAAGACAAAAGTATTAAGTCTCATCTGAGACTCATCACCTCCCACCTATGATCCTGTGAAAGCAAAAACAGTTATTTGCTCCCAAGGTTCAATGGTAGTACAAGCATTGGGTAAATATTCTCATTTGAAAAAGGAAAAAATGGCCAAAATAACGGGGCAGTAGGCCCCATGCAAGTGTAAAACCCAGCAGGGTAGACATTAAACCTTAAAGCTACAAAATAATCTCCCTTAACTTTATGTCCTGCATCTAGGGCAGACTGGTGCAAGGAGTGGCTTCCCAAGGGCTTGGGCAGCTCCACTGCTGTGGTTCTGCAGCAGGCAGAACTGGCTGTGGTCACCGGGTGTAGCTGAATGCCTGCAGCTTTTCCAGGCCCAGGATGCAAGCTACCAGTGGCTCTATCATTCTTGGGTCTGAAGTTTAGAGGCCCCTTACCACAGCTCCACTAGACAGTGACCCCCTTAGGGACACTATGTGAAGGCTCCAATCCCACATTTCCCTTTAACATTGTTCTAGAAGGGTTTCTGTGTGAGGGAAGGCTTCTGTCTAGGCACCCAGGCTTTCCAATGCCTCCTCTGACATCTAGGGGGAAGCTGCCAAGCCTCCTTTGCAGTTGCATTCTGTGAGCTTCCAGACTTAACATCCAACGGAAGCCACCAAGGCTTATGGTAGCATGCACTCTCCAGAGCAGCAGCCTGAGCTATACCTGGGACACTTTGAGCCACAAGTGGAGCCATAGCTGGAGTAGCTGGGATGTGGGAGGCAGTGTACCGAGGCTGAACAGGGCAGTGACACCCTGGACTTGACTCTCAAAACCATTCTTTCCTCCTTGGCCTCTTGTCCTGAGACCTCATCAGCCTGGCTTTTATTATTCATATTTCTATTAGCATTTTGGTTGCAACAATTTAATCAGTCTCTAAGAAGCTACAAAAGTTTCCTCATCTTCCTGTCCTCTTCTGAGCCCCCAAAACTCTTCCAACTTCTGCTCATTACCCAGCTCCAAAGTCAATTCCACATTTTCAGGTAACTTTATAGCAATGCCCCATTCTTTAGTACCAATTTTCTGTGTTAATGCTTTTTTGCATTGCTATAAAGAAATACCTCAGACTGGACTGGGTAACTTACAAAGAGAAGGATTTTATTTTGGCTTATGGTTCTGTAGGCTGTACAGAAAGTATGGTGCTGGCAAATGCTTCTGGTGAGGGCTCCAGGAAGCTTACAATAGTGGTAAAAGGTAAAGAGGGAGCCAGTGCATCACATGGTGAGAGAAGGAGCAAGACAAAAGGGAGAAGTTCAAGACTCATTTAAACAATTGGATCTTATGTAAACTAACTGAGTGAAAACGTATGTATAACAAAAGAGATGATACTAAGCCATTCATGAAGAATACACCCCTCTGACCTCCATGATCCAAACACCTCTCACCAGGCCCCACCTCCAACATATTTCAACATGAGAATCACATTTCAACATGAGATCTGAAGGGGACACACATCCAAACTACAACACACACACACACAAACACACACACAGACACACACACACACACACACACATATTTAATTCCTTGACTATCATTTCAATGAAATTGTCAGAAAATAACAAAGATAAGCAACTGTCTACCATGCTATTATTGCCTGTGGTGCACAGCCACACATTAGTAGTCATCCCTGAAGTCACCACTATATATATATGGATTCTTGAAAATATCATTTGTTAAAATGCAGCCAAGTTATTTGCTAAGAAGAAAGGTGACCTTCACTCCAGTTCACAATAACTTTCTCATTTCCATCTGAGACTTCATCATCCTGGCCTACATTTCACAAGGTTTCTTCATTTTTACTTCCATTTCTGTTTTTCTCCATGAACTACTCACAAAGATAAGCATAAGCAGGCACAGAATCTTCCATCGGAGTAACATGGCTTCCCTCACCTCTCTTGTAACCCTAGAACTTGCTTACTCTGGTTCAAATTTTATATAACAAATTTGTGAGTTGCATTTCAGTGCAGCAGACCCCTACATTGCTGGTTACATAATTGGAGCATGCCCAGGTAAGTATGCCAGGTGCGTGGTCTAGGAGCCAGCAAGAGCGGAAGAGTCACCCAGAAGCAGAACCAATCTACTTGGATCAAGGAATGGGGACCAAATGCAGAAACAAGGGATGCCTGCTTTTGTTGTAGTATGGACTTAAGAGCCAAGGACGTCAGCATGACCTAGCAAAGTCACGCCTCATTGCATTTTCTTATCTGTTTCATTGTAACCCTCTACCAACAAAACCTATCCCCATATCCCAGCCTCGGAAAGACAGATTTGAGCATTTCCTCCTGTCTCCTCTCCAGTGACTTTGCCATGAAGCTTTTTCTTTTCTCAAAAACTGGTGTTGTGGTATTGGTTTCTATGTACACTGAGCAGTACGCCTTTGCTTGGTAACACTCTATCATTACACTCAGAAAGCAGAAGCCTGGTGGGCAGCTGTTGGCGGTAGCAACTGTTGCATCCCTGAGCACCACCTCCTGGGAATGGCTGGGATGAAGAGAGGCACAGGGGTGCACTGGTGACTTCAAGGATGAGTACTCACGTGTGGCTGTGCACCACAAGCAAGGATCACCATCAGACCCGGGGCAATCCTGCCACCTGGGTCACACAAGCCTCATTTGCCCAGCCTGCTTCTACCTGGACAAGGTCCTGCTCACCTAGGGGAGCCTCCTGCACTAGAGACGCTGCTCACGCTCTTAATCTTGATCTTAAATGTTTTTTGGCCATGCTGCCATGTTGCTGGAATAGTCTCTTCTGTCTTCTACTGTCTGATGAACTTATCCCCCAAACTGCTGTTTCATTTCATGCAGAGGAGTTTAGCTACATTATGTATTTTTTTTTATTTCTCATTGACTCATACTCATAGACATGCTTTACATAATCTATGTTTAATCTAAATTTTCATTGATTGTATGATGCATCATTATATAATTTGCCACTAAAGAGAAAGGCCGCTAATTATGACTTTAAGACATCTTAAATTGTAAGACAGGTCTTGATTTTAAAATAGAAAAATATTAATTTTGGCATCAATTAAATATCGTACATGGTTTATCCCATAATCTTCCCAAATGAAACATCTCAGAGAATTCTGGTATTAAAACAAGAAAGTTGATCGCAATAGTCTGAATGAGGACTAGCGACTTAAGTGGCTGTAAATCGAATTTTTTTATAGCTAGACTTTACTGAGATCTCTAATCATTAAAGCTTCTACTACACAGATTCAGATAACTTGAAGATATGTTTTTCATGAAGGAAATTTTGCTTTGCTTCCACAGTAATAACAGTGTGGTATTTAATTAGTTCTATTTTAAAATTTTTATATTAAAAATAAACATTAATTTAGCTTTAATATTAGCTATTGAATTTGATGTGGGTTATTAATTAAACTCTAAAATGTGTGAAGAAGCAAATATTTTTCTTCCAAGTATCCATTCAAATTAGATGTATTCATATATATTCCCAAATTTACTTGCAGAGTGAGATTTCATTTTTGACATGATAGTATTTGAATAATATGAGATAGTCTACTAAAATAAGTACATTTATAAATAATGAGTTATTTGAAGAAAATGGAACATGTAACATAATATTAAGTATATAATCTAATATGCATCTTATATAAAATACTAAAGGACTATATATGTGGTTACCAAACTTTTTGCTAAAACTTTTTATTATTTTTCTGTAGAATTATTTTTTGTCATATTTTCCACATAGAAAATGGAAATATATAAAAAGGTAAAATTTGGGGTTTCCTGCCCTGCTTAAATGCCACTGCTGTAGGCAAAACTCATAAATAAGAATGAAATACAATAATAAAATCATCTTGTCTTTTCATTTAGAATTACGTAATTTGAATTTTTTGCTGTTGTTATGTTCTCACCTACTCATAGACATTTCTGTGGTGAATGTATATTCATATGATGCACTAACCAAGAGTAGGTATTTATTTAACAATTACATTTAATATAAAATTAACATAAGATCCTTACTGACTGACTTTTCATAACCATTGTAAATATACAACACATATAACAAATGGAGAATCAGGAGTTTATTTCTACTAGATCAGTTCCAATGGCTTGTGGTATGGAAATACATTCTGTAATGAGCTATTACTTATCAATTATATACTTTGCATTGACCGAAGTTGCAGTTAGGTCACTCATGTTGGATGTCTTTTATATCATTTAGAAAAGTTTTATTAGTTCTAAGAAAATAACTTTCAGTGTCCAGCACAACAGACTCTGAAGATTAAATACTAATAGAATATCTTTTTTTTTTCTAAGACAAACTCTTACTCTGTCACCTAGGCTGAAGTGCAGTATCATGATCACAGCTCACTACAGCCTCCATCTCCCAGGCTCAAGCTATTCTCCCACCTCAGCTCCTCCCCATCCTCAGTAGCTGGAATTACATGTGTGTGCCACTGCACCAGGGATAATTTTATTTATTTATTTTTTTTGTAAGATAAAAAACTACAGGTCTCACTAGGTTGCCCTGGCTGGTCTGGAACTTCAGGCTTAAGTGATCCACTCACTTCAGACTCCCCACATGCTAGGATTACAGGCATGCCTGTCCTAAAACATCTTTTTAATCCTTAAGAAGAGTCACCTGGAGAGGCAATGGCCCTGTTAGCACTGGCCTCTGTTTTGAGTGTTGGAGAAGGATTTCCATTAAGACAGCGTGAAGATGCTGGTAAATCCTTCCCACACGCAAAGTATGAAACTGGGCAAAATTGTCAAAAAAACATCCTTTCAGGTTTGCAAGTTGCCAAAGGCAGAGAACAAATTGAAGAACATATATTCTTGAGAAACTAGGGGAGCTTTGGGAAAGCTCTGCTGCCAACTTGCCTTGGGCAGTTCCCATCAACAACCCCAGTTCGGTTGCCAAGAAAAGTAGCTTTACAAAGGTGAAGATGGCAAGGGAGGAGAATGAAGGGGGAAGGAGATCAGAATCATTGCTTCCAGAGGAGTGGAATTGATTTGAAGTGGGCCAAAAAACTTTGCAGTTTTGTAATTTAAAAGCGACAAACTTGATAGAAAATAATGGGGGAGGGAGAAACACAATTTTGCTAACTTAAGTCCCAGTTGTGGTAAGCAGCAGACCCTTCAGAAAATTAGCAAAAGGATCCTGGAAATAAGAGCCACAGAAGAACTTAATATATTTGAGCACAAACTCTGGCTAAATCATTGGTTGGCTACTAGGCTAGACAATCGCTAGTAAGCTAGGCTAAAAGAAAATACTAAAAAGAAAAAACTAAAAAGAAAAAAAAACTGAGCGGAGATATCAGCAACTATACAACATGGAGGAAAAGTTTCTGCAGTTTGAGTCCAGGTAAGGTAATTAAAAAGTAAAAGTAAGACAGAATCCAAATGGATCAATACATTATATGATCAAAAATTTGTAGTTTTCAATAAAATATTACAAGATACACAAGAAATGGGAAAGTATCACCCACACTCAAGAATAAATGCTGTCAATAGAAACTAATTCTGAGTAGGCATAGATATTGGATTTGCTAGACAAAGGATTCAAAAAGAATATTATAAGTAAGTTTAAAGAACTAAAGCAAAGTATGAAAATAACACATAGTCAATTTCAACAGAGAAAGGTAAACTATAAAAGAAAATCAAGTGGAAATTCTAGAGCTTAAAGGAGTGAAAACAAAAATGAAAAATTTGCTAGATTAGCTCAACAAGAGGTATAAGATGGCAGAAGAAAAATCAGTGTGCTCTCAGAGGAATCAATAGAAATTACTGAGTGCATGAAACAAATAAAAAAAACTGATGCAAGAACTTCAGTGAATGCAATAAAAATCTTAAGCATTAAAACATGTATGTAATGGGATTCCTAGGAGAATGGGAGAGAGAAAGGGTATAAAAAAATTAAATGAATAATGGTTAAAAACTTCCAAATTTGATTTTAAAGCATATTATTCCAAATAATTTATGTAGATTCTCCATCTTGTAAGGAGATGAAATATAATTCCGCATGCCTTAAGTGTATGCTATATTAGAGACTTTCCTTCAAAGAGTACAGTATGGTGAGGATGGGAAAATAAAGGAACTTAACAATGGAGAGACTTTGTGACTATTACCTAAAGCCAGGTGATCGAGTTTAACCTCAACAGTAATAAGACATTGATAATATACACTCTAACATAATATGATAAGAATGATACTTTACTACCGTGATTTTCCTCCCCAAGACAAATTACCCCAGCCTAATAATGAGAAAATCATCGAACAAATCTCAATCGAGGGACATTTTACAAAATATCTAAACTAATTATCAAAACTATCAAAGTCATCAAAAACAGTACAAGTCTAAGAAATTGTCAAAGACAAAAGAAATCAAAGGAGAGTACTAAATGTCATATGTTATCCTAGATGGGCTCTTGGGATAGCAAAAGGACATTAGAGAAAAACTGAGAAAATTTGAATAAAGTATAGACTTTAGTTAATAATAATGTATTACTCTTGCTTATTCATTTCAGATAAATGTACCACATTTATGAAAGACGTTAAGCCATTAAATTTGCTATAATTTGTTACATCACTAAAAGTAAACTAATACACATTTCCATGAACATTATGTAAGAATTTGTTCCTCCACATCCTCACCAACACTTGATATAACCAGTTTTTTCAATATTACCATTCTAACAGCTGTCTAATGTCATCTCATTGTGGCTTTAATTTGCAATTTCTTAAAAAATAATGGTGTCAAACGTCTTTGCATGTACTCTCTGACATTTGTATATCTGCTTTGCTTAATATTTGTTCAAATATTGTCCCCATTTTGATTAGGCTTAATTTTCTTTTACAGTTTGGGAAGTTTTATATATATATATATATATATATATATATATATATATATATATATATATATATATATATATATACTGGATACATGTCCTTTATCAGAGATATATAAATATTTTCATCTATTCTGTGACTTGTCTTTTTATTTTTTAATGATGCCTTTGAGAGATTTAAAAACAATTTGATGAAGTCCAATTTATCAATTTGTTCTTTCGTGGACCATTCTTTTGCTGTCATAGCTAAATAATTTAGCTAAACAAAATGAATGAATGCATAGTTGAAGGAATAATCTAATAATGGCTTCAACTCTGCCAGTGTATTATGTTTGTCTCAGGCATGCACTTTAGATATCCAACCCTTATACCTTAGCCACCCCCAAACTGCATATTTTGTAAGTACTCTTTTTAAATTTAATTTATTATAGAAAGATGGGATAACTAAAAATACTCATATTATTTGTGCCAAGAAGAAAAGGACCATATGTTTCAAATCATGAGACTTAGCTTCAAAGAAAGAACATCAGGAAGTTAAATATTCTTTTAGCAATCCTTCCAAACTATGGGTATACACTACTATTTTTTCTTCATAGATTCTGCCATCTTTACCTTATGCTTTTATCTAGGTTGAGGTGGTGAATATATGTACTTTAGGACAAGTAATAATTCTTTCAAAATATTACTACTCTGTATTTCTCATAGTTCAATGAAATTTTGTAGGTTTTTAACAATTTTTGACAAATGTAGCTAAAGAAAACCAGACACCAATTAACCCGGCATGTATCATGAAGATAATGAAGAATCATTAAATATTTTTTAGAGCAGAGAATAATAGATAAGAGATGTACGTGAATATTAATCTAATAGTTTGTGTGTATTAGATAAGTCAATATTTGTGGGAATAAGAATCAGTTAATAGATGTCAGCTAAGAAGCAATTTTGCAGCAATAGCAGAATGACCTGATATGGAAAGGCACATTAAATTTCAATGAATAAATGCTTGATTGAATATGAAAAATGAGGCAGGGAATTCTAAGAGCAAAGTAAATGAGAGAATGGGCCATAGGCAAAATCAGAAACTGTAAATAGACATCACTATGCAAAATTTTCCGTGATCTCGTCCCAGATTACTTTTGCCTTGTCCTTCTTCTCCACTCAAACCCACAGATTCTACCAAAGAGAATTAAGTCCTAACTATGTTATGAATATTTAATCTCTGAAGACATTTAATTGGGATGCTCCCCACACATTGGAATACACAGAACTTCTAGATTCCACTGGATCATTCATTCTTAGAGTAACATAGATAAGTATTTCTTAAACTACTGCTTGAGGAGATTGTACTAGGTTCTGTGGTTGGCAGCTGGGAAATCAACTAGTAAACAATTCTAGTGGAGTTTAACAAGTGATATGATAAAAGTATATAAAAGCAAAGTGCAACAGCACCTATTGCTATTAAGTGAGGAAGGACCAATGAGGCTGGGCACAAACAAGAACTTGATTCCATAAAAACAAGTTAGATTTTATTTTTCATGCTGCATTTTTCCAAATTTGTCTAATAAAAATCACCAGGAATACTTAAGTTTTGATATTAGGAAATGATTTTGGCATATACACAGAAAAAAAAATTGAGGAATGTTTACCCTATCCACAGATGGAATATTAGCAAGAAATAATTTAGCCATTTAAAGTTGTAGGACAGGAGATAAAAGAGGAAAATTTATAATATACATTTTAGGGGTAGTATAAATTACACCTACTCATTGAGACTTTCATTGATCATTTTTAGGTAAAAAGAATCTCTCTATTGCTTATGTTCTTGAGTGTCTGTGTGTGTGTGTGTGTGTGTATAGGTACATCTGTGAGTGTATATGGGTGAATGTGTATACATGTGCATGTCTGTATTCGTTTGTAAGTTCTTTGTGGATGCAAGATAAGTTAATCCAGAAATTAAGTGCTGTATAGAGTTGTTACTCAACTGGTACTCACTGAATATTTGAATAAACTTGACCTACATGATTTTAAGGCTAACTATTAAAAGAAAACTTTGGTTGAGGATAAAGCTGTGTAGTAGGCTAGAATTCAGCTTCAGGGTTCTGACTGAGTCACTAAGAGTTTTTTTTAAAACCATTTTTACTATTTTTTCCCCAAGTGTAAATGAGAATAATGGTTACCTGCCTCAAAGGGGTGTTGTGCAGAATAGCTGGTTGACAGTTTTAAACTATTTTGAAGATAGAATGTACTATAAATGCTCTAAAGAAAAAAAGCGCAATGGAATAAAACACTTGAACCAAAGCCTTAGGAAAGTTAGTATGTCTTTTAGGCTGGCAATCTTCTACTAATAAAGAATTCTATGGGAAATTAACTCCACAACATTTTTTATTTTCTTGCCTCTTTTCTACTTTCTTCTGTAGCTAATGTCTGCCTAGTGACTCAATTAAACAGGAAAGTTCTAGTAATGCCACATGTTGTAATAGATGTTACTCATAAAGAAAGAAATGCAATGAAGATTATAAAGTGGTCATTAATCACACCACAAGATTTAGTCTGTTCAAAGACATCACTATATTCAGAAATTACCAGAACTATTTTAAAATTAGTTTTATCATTGGAAATTCTGGATATAGTTGTAGAGGGCTAGAAGCAAAAGTTCACTTTTGTGTAGAAATATCTAATAATTTTTCTGAAACACAAATATCAGAGCTAGATATGAAGTTCATTTTTCAAAATAATTGTTATTTTTCCAAATGAAAAATGAGATATTAAAAACTCCGAAAAGGTATTATTTTGTTTAGTCATTCTTATTGAGAATATTTACACAATTATGCATTTACATATCCTATTTTGTAAACCCAAATCAATACACATATAGCTTAAAACAGAACAAAAAACTGCATGCCACAAAATTTTTGTGAGAAAAAAATGTTAAAAAATAAAACAAAGTGACCAATTTTACATGTTCTTCAATAGAGTTGATATACATCTTTACCATTCTATGTTCTATATTTTATAATAATGGATCATGAATCTAACATTTCAATCCGTATTTTAAAACAAACAAAAACAGAGATTTAAAAAAAATATCAAATTCTTATGTAGAAATAAGCACTGTATCTCATCATTTCACTAGTTCTTGCCACACAAAAACATATTGTATATTAACTATTACATTTTGAACTTCAATAATAAAGTCAAAAATGGCATATTTCTCAAGTATATTATTGTACATCATTAAAATATCAGAGTAGAAAATGCTACAGTCTCTTTATTATTTTTAACATTTAGTAAAATATTTTAATCTTAAATCTGTATTAATATTGTTCATTGAAAGTACCTTCTGATTTTAGAGATCAATGATTCAATAGATATTAGATCAGTAGATTCATCAGATAGTTAGTACCTGGAAATTAAGTACACACTGGGATGAGCATATTAGAATGCTCTGATTATATGCCTAGAAGCCAGTAATTTAGTTAGGAAGATAAAATTAACAAATGAAAACATAGTAACAAATAATTAAATGATAAACTGGATTTTGGTGACTCTAGCAAAAATGTGTGATGTAGAAAAACTATAAATGAGCTTGTAGAGAAAATAGGCTTACAAAAATTTGGATGGGATAAAGGAAGAGGAATGGGCATTTGGGTAAAGATTGAAAGGCAAGTTGAAAGGTATAGATTTTAAAATTCAAATTGTATTAAGTGGAAAGCAGTCAGATATATAAAAACACAAATGCAATTTCCATAATATACTTAAGTTTGTTATATTAGATATATTTTAGACATTCTGAATAATTTGATAAATAGAATGTAAGTCTCTTGAGCATTTGTTTGTTTTAATCATCACAGCCTCAAGAAGAGTTTCTTTTCTAGGGTAGGAGCCCAATAAAGATTTGCTGAGACAATAAATAAATAAAAGATGAATTTGTAACTGGAAGTGGTAAGCAGTATGGGTCAATTGTAGCTCCTTAACAAGCAGAGTGGCAGGATGAAACGTGTTTAGAAAGCTGATTTTGGCAATGGTTATGCAAGATGACACTAGAGGAATAATTACGTGGCACTGTCAGTGGAAACATTTCTTTTTTTTTCTTTTTTTTTAAATTATACTTTAAGTGCTAGGACACATGTGCAAAATGTGCAGGTTTGTTACAGAGGTATACATGTGCCAAAGTTGTTTGTTGCACCCATCAACCCATCATTCTACATTAGGTATTTCTCCTGATGCTATACTTCCTCTAGCTTCCCACCTCCTGACAGGCCCTGGTGTGTGATGTTCCCCTCTATGTGTCCATGTGTTCTCATTGTTCAACTCCCACTTCTGAGTGAGAACATGTGGTGTTTCGTTTTCTTTTCCTGTATTAGTTTGTTGAGAATGATGGTTTCTAGCGTCATCCATGTGCCTGCAAAAGACATGAACTCATCTTTTTTTATGGCCACATAGTATTCCATGGTGTATATGTGTCACATTTTCTTTATCCAGTCTATCATTGATGGGCATTTGGGTTGGTTCCAACTCTTTGCTGTTGTGAACAGTGCTGCAATAAACATACATGTGCATGTGTCTTTATGGCAGAATGATTTATAATCCTTTGGGAATATATCCAGTAATGGGATCAAATGGTATTTCTGGTTCTAGATCCTTGAACCATTTCTACTGGAGGTTATTGCTTGACTTGGCCATGGTTTGAACATCCCATCATGTATGTTTTCAAATGTCAAAAAAATACAACATTACAAATATTACCAATTGAATCAATCTGGCATTTGTGCCTTATGATATTTTGCTGAGCTATCATAGCATTTGCATTACACGTAAGCAGTGAACCAAGAAGGAAAGGCTTGTATCCACTACATTTGGCAGCAAAGCTGTATCAAACGAATTTATTCTACATTTATATTAAAGTTGACGTCAGTGTGCCTATGCCTGCAGAAAATGAAGGGCCTAAAAAGAAACTGTTTCTTCTTAATTGTTGGTCCTAAAACAAATATGAAACTAAATAAAAATGACAAAAATAAAAGCATGAATAATTTGTGCAGTTATTTGTTTAGTGATGATTAAAGAGTAAGATAATTATTTATTTATTTATTTTTAAGTTTCAGTTTTGTCTCACTTCCCTAGTACCAAATAGGTGCAGAGATACACATTAAAATCTACATGTCCCAATTTTACTATCATTATAATTAGTAAAATCTGTGGACACTCTTATAACTATATTATCAATAATTTACTTTCTTTACTTATAACAATACTCTTCACTAACATTTGTATAAGGCCATAATTGTATATACATTATTTCAATTAGCCTCAGTAAGTAAGTTGTTTGGATGGGGCATGTGTTACTACTTTATTTTATAGATAGGAAATCTAATAATCAGAGAAACAATAATTCCATATTGTCCAATAATTGCAGAACTATGGTCTTTTAACTCACTTATTTTACTCTATGACACTGCTATTCCTCCTACTGCTTTCCCTTCACTAGGGACTTCTTTTTTTCCTTTAAGCTCTTGACAAAATTAAAATTTATCATTGAAATACTACACATGTCCAAATTCATTATTGATCTATTTAAGAATGAAACAGTTTGTCTAAGTTTAAATATATGAAATTCTACTTTATGTACAACTTGGGAACAAAAGAGCCATATTAGATAATTTAATTATTTCTCTGCAAAAACACATGCACTATAATATAACCTGATCATGTTCCTCACAGTCATGACAGAAGGAAACGTAGAAGAGAAGATTCAGTGGATAATTTTTAAAAGTTTTCTGAAGCCATATTTTTAACCTACATATATCTGTAAGCCTCAGCATAAGTAATTCTGTGCTGTCTTAACTAGCAATAAATTCAGATAATTAACATTCAATAAACATTTTGGTATCTACAGGAAAGTTATTTTCTTCTACCTTCATGTATTTGAGTAGTCAGTGTTAAGTTATTCAATACTAGCTCACTAACACAAGAGTTTCAAAAGGTATCATTTACTAAATAAATTATATGATTATTTCTTGTAGTATTAATTACCCCACAAATGGTAGAGAAAAATTACAAAAACTAGCTGCTACCCAAAAACCTTGCCTCCCCTCATAGAACAGAAATAAAATGAATCTTAAGCAAAATTACTAAATTATCCTACAAAGTCATGTCAGAGATAGGAGAAAATCATTTGGAAAACAATTACTTTAGCAAGAATTGACTAAAACCTCATTAAAGTAATTAACATAATTAAGAAAAAGTATATTTTTTAATATAGCTCCTTGATTCTAGAAACATCAAGAAAGCAAATTTTGAACGTGCTTATTCAAGCACCATGATACTTGGTTGTTTGGTCTTAATAAGCACAAAATTCCATATTTTGGATTTGAATGAATAAGGTTGTCTTCGTGGAATGATGCTTTCACACATTCAAAGCACACAGTGACTTTCCTTTTTCTGATTCTGTGCTTACCAAACACATTTCTGATTGTAATTTGACTTTTAGTCTAGCATAAGTACAGATAGCATTTTAGTTATATTTGAGTATAGCTTGCCAAAGAAGAGAAAATATGCTGATCTACCTTTGAGTTCAGGCTTTAAACATCTGTCTCTCAGGACTCAGTTAATATGAGCCTTTTCCCGTGATACAGATCTATTCTTAGTATGTTGATACATCCAGTTCTTGTGCTTGCCAAGGCTTAAGAACTGACTGCAGGCAGCTGCAGTGAACGTGAACACTCAAAAATAATGAGGACAAATGAGGCATCTTGAAGAGAGCCAACGCCTTTCTAGCAACTCATGTGCCCAAGGCAACTTTTATTTTAACTTTAGAATTGAGCATTTACTATGTATTCAGAATCATGATAATTGTTTCTGAGAATTCAAAGTTAGAAAGCTTAGGCCTTTTTCCAAGGAACTTAAAATCTCACTTATGAAAAAATTGTATTCTTGTCCTATGAAAGGCAGTGATTGAGACGTCTAAATATGAAAGGCAACACAAGATTAAGATTAGAATATCATCATAAGAGAAAAATTATGCCAATTCTTTTATTTTATATTAACAGGTGAAGGAAAACTATTCCTTTTCTATTTCTATACAGTGACTAGTGTTATCATCTTAAGTCATATCTCTTAACCCCTCTGTTAAATACGCTTTAATGGCTACATATTGCACTAGAATTTACTGTGTTATCTTCTACGTGAGCTTGTATCAGTCTTGTGCCTAATTGCCCAGGCTCACCTGAGGCTGCTTTACCCCTTTTCAACTACCCTCCACTTAAATGGCCTTTTTCTCTTTCTGGGCTCCATAGTTTCTACATAAACACACTCTAAAGTCAGAGGCTTGGGCTCAGGTTTATTATGGATCTCTATGAGAGCTACAAAGAAGTGAAGGAGGAAGCAAGAGTAAGCAAAAGGAAAATCAGAATAGGAATGCAGTCCAAGAACAACCTCAGTTGGTACTACAGGGTACTCTAGAGCTTCGATGGCCTTTCAAAATCATTGCAAATTGAGGCAAAGGGCACAGGACTGTGCCTCCATCCTAAGACAGAATCCAGGTACCTCGCAGCATCCACTATTTTTGATTTATCTCGAACCGAACAATATCTCTCCTAATTCAGGGCTTTTGTGCATGTTATTCTCATCTTTTTGCCTGGAATGCTCTAGTCTTCCACCACCCCACAACCACTGCCTCAAAGTTTTGGTTCACTTTTCAGGTCATCTTAGAACTATAAATTCCTCAGAAAGTTTTTTTCTGACCCTGAATCTAAATTACGTCTTTCTTTTAAACTCTTTCATAGCAATTCATACTTTGCTCTATGTAAAAGTATAAAATATGTACTTATACTTTAGGTGTGTGCTTTTTCTGTTACTCTTTTCCATTTGTATCATATTGTAAGCTCCAAGGGCACAGATTTGTCACTTCTCTATGATTAGCACATAGTTCCAGCAACTTGAACATCACAGATGCGTAATCGATATCTGTAAATGAATGAGCAAGTCTCGGTTCTTCTCTCCTTTAGGCCCTAGTAATTGCTGACATTTCCCACTAATTATTATGATGATAATTTAACTCATTTAATTTTTTTTGTAAACTGTATGCTGGTTTGTATTAGAATTGTCTCTGATATTATCACACAGATGTTCTCACAATTGGCTTGCACTAGAATCACCTAAAAGACTTGTAATATGCTGAGTTTTGACCCCAGCATCTCTGCTTCACTAAGCCTGGGTTAAGCCCCTGTATTTGCATTGCTGATGCTACTATTCCAGGAATGGCCCTCTGATAATTGTCTGTGAATACAGATAGAGAGTTATCTATTTCCAATATTCAGTTTATTACAAAATGCAAAATCAAGAAATTTTAGAAATTTGTGTTTGGAAGTTCAGGTAAATGGAACTGGGATAATCTATAATACTTTAGAAGTAACAGGTAGATAAGTGTGAAGCATTTTATTAATGTACACTACAAAGCAATAAACATTATTTACTGAATATAGAAAGAGCCAATTTGTAACCATTATGTTTATCTTCATTTGGATATCCCACAAGAGAAAATACCAAGATACTTTATAATCTAAATGCTCTATGAATTTGTTCTTTACAGAATTAGCTGTAAGTTCTGAAAAATTGTTTTACAATACATAGTAAAATTTTTATTCTTAAATTTAAAATTAATATTTGTATGATTTAATAAATTTATATCTTTAAAATGTTATTTATTATTTACACAATATCTGAAAACATAAGCATTAACTCTTCCTCAGACAAAATAGTCATTCATACAATTCCTAAAGTATTCTGTCTAAAAAAATAAGACAGCTACAGTGGACTCAATCTTCTTTTAAAAAAGGTAAAAAGAAAGTTTTATTTATTTAAAATTGTTTAAATCCATATAGTAAAATTCACATTTTGGTGTACAATTCCAAATTTTAACACCACTTCTGAAACCAGGATTTAGAATTTTATCACCCTGAGAAATTCCATGTAACATTTACAAACTCTAATTTTTACTGATTAAATTACAAGTTATTAAGGTCTGTGTTTTTAGAATTTCCATATCTGTTGGATATTGATTTTTGCATTCAGCATATTTATTATATTTTCTGGATTTTTAAAGAACAATATATATATGTACATATTTCTATCCATATTATTATTCAAATCAGAAATCTAGACTAGGGACAGCAACAGTGATACCAAAAGCCTATTCTGAAGTTTATGTTGGCTCCTTAATTGGTAACTTTGGAGTGTGGCTTTTGAGATTTTTAGATGTCTTATTAGATCACAATTTTCTATTTTGGCCTAAATATATTGTGTTAGAATGTTGTTAAATATTTCTGAAATATAAGTATTTATAACATTGCTTGAATTTATTTGTGCAGTGACCTTATAAAAATTTATCGAGTTTAGATTAGCATAATTTATCCTGTTTTTAGATACTTACAAAGTGTCTTTATATAACAATAGTCTTACAGATTTCTGCTTGGTATTAATGTCATAATCATCAGTCTACACCCTTCCTCATATGGGAGAACATTTACTAGTGAAATTTTCCCTTTGTTCCCATTTATTTTTTTCAATGATAAGCAATAATTTTTCTATCATTTCCAAAATTTTCCTCAGCCCTTTGCATTGCAATCCAAATAAAACTAGAAATTGTATCTCCTTTCCATTCATTGGTGATCTCACATCTTCACCAATGCAAGACTTTCATAATCTTATTCTTATAAGAATTTTTCCATAATTTCAAGAACAAAAGCATTTATCTTGACAAAGAAGAAATGTTTTTAAAAGTTGTCAAAGCATTCTAACCTCCTTCATTTATCATTATTATTAGTTTTAGTAACATTATTCCATTTGACCTAAGCATTAAGACCTGGAGCTTACCTTTCCTTGATTCTATATCTACTGAAAACCAAAACTCAATTGTTTCTCTCTTCATAAGTTTTTGAAAACCTCAGATAATCTGAACAGTTGTTTTTCTAACATTATCCTCATAGAAATTTTATCACTCTGTTTAAATGGGCATAGGCCATATGCCCTATTCCAGAGTTGTTTTTATTAATAAATGAATATGCATTTGCAAATTAACACACTAAAATGGAAACATAAAGGGGTAGGCCTACTTAGATGTTTTTTACACAAAAGTCCTGTCTTATATTTAAACTAAGAATTGAAGAATGGAATAGATACAGATAGTTGGAAGTAAAGTATCAGTCAGAAAGAATCACAATATGGGACATATCTAGAGTGGAAACAAGAGCCATATGTCCCTAGGCCACAAAAAGAGTGAACAAAGAGGTGCCCGTTACAGTTGGAAGATACTCAGGGACAGATTCCACAGGCTTCAGAGGCAGTGGTAAGAAATTTGCATTTTATTCTGAGAGTGACAAGATGCCATTAAAGTGTAAGAAGCAGAAATGTGACAATATCCCGTTCATATTTGGTTTATTCCAAAAGATGAGATTGTTCACTTTGAAGAAACTAGAGAACTGAAGATTCTCAGCCCAGAAGAGGTATAAAATAAAGCTCTCAAAGGACCTCGTGAAATAATAAAAAAAATAAGTATTTAGAATTTTAGAATACAATGTAGCTACAGGACACCAAATGCAGATGGTAACTGTACCAGTTAAGTAGGACTTTTCTCTTGTGCTTCTCTTCTTTGCTACTCACTCAAATTCTAGAGCTGTCGTATACAGCCTGAGAATGGGGGAAAAGGAGTGAAAGAATAAGTTGAAAAAACAGATCTCAATGTAGAAGGAAAAAATCATTGCATTAGATGAGTTTGTGCATATATATTATATATTATATTATATATATATAATATATATATGTATATATATATACACACACGCACACATTCATCTGGATACCAGAGCATGATTAAAGAAGATTGATGACAACAAATCAATCATTCTTTACTTATGTCTTACTCTTTACTTACTCCTTAGACACTATGTTTTGTATTCTGAAAGTGCAGTATGCAATCAGTCTTTTTGTAAATTGAAATTCTAGTTATTTTTTATATAATTTAAGTGGTAGCTCATTTTCTTCAAATCCTGGGTTTAGCATGTGCATAGACTGTGAGCACTGCATGAACTCCATTAGTATATAAGCCTCCTGACATAGGTTTTGCCATTCTTGCTTACTTGCTGCATCCCCAGTGCTTTGAAGAGTGCCTTGAACATAGTACATTACTCAACATTGAATCAGCTTGAACAGAGCATGCAGAGCTGGCTTACTCCTATCAGCCTCAGGAGTCTTCAAAATAAAACTTTCTTATTGTGTGCTTGAATTCGATGATTAAAACTACAGCCCAAATCCTAAGAAGCAATTTATACAAACCCCATTCTAAAACACTTTAATACGACAGAATTATTGTAGACAAATAGAAAAAAAATCATTTATAAGGAGTTTATTCAGATCTCCTCTGGGAAAAAGTACTATTTATGATTCTATAGAACATGCAAACCTGCAAAAGCTGCAGTCCTTCTTTTACAGATCCAAGGATTTAATTGTCTAATGGGAGTTTTAAGACTATCCTTAACTCATTTGTGAGGATTAATTCCTACTGACTGGGGGAAAGTACTTTACCTGATTCCATACAATATACAAACATGTACAGGTCAGTCATACTCTCAGGGATCTAATAATAGTCAAACTGGAAAGTTGTGAGCACCTCTGGCAACTTGGTAAGGTAAGTCCATTTGATTGAAGGTCCTATGTGGGATTTAGCTCTTAAGGCAGAGAAATCCAAGAAAGACATGCTGATTAATTAACAATATCCAAAATTATAAGAGTGCAACTTGGTGACTGTCATTAAAAAATTGTTTCACTGCCTAGACTCTGGTTTGGTAAGCGTAGGGCTAGGTAAATAAAAGGAAAAAATTTTTCTATACACCTCTATAAGACTTTGGTGCTATAAGCAACACTGCTTTGGTGTTCAACTGGAAGAATGAAGTTCTCAAGGAAGAAAACACTGCCTTTAACTTCTGCACTAAATAGAACATGGATTTTGTACAAAACTACAGCTTCAATCAATACACAGAGAAACCTAGAGTATTGGCAGAAATAACAGCAGTTAGTACAGGTTGGCAATCACTGGAAAAATTCAGCATAGTCCAGAAGAAACAAAATTAATAAAAAGATAAAAAGTTATATATGGCAGGAAACCACAGTATCTGTACCTGATGGGATGTTATATTAGAAAATGGAAGCCACATACGATATTTATGGAACTGCCATTGGAAAAGTCCAAAAGAGGAGATTTGAAGGGAAAAGTAACTGAAAACTTATGATAGCGAAGGAGTAAATGTTTGATGAATGCCAAATGTATTTAGATGGAAACTTCACAAGGACTGTATGGTGGGTGGCTACAAAATTATTGAAACATATTTTAGCTAAACTGATAATACATCTATCACTTGAAATATATAATTATTCCTTCTTAATATGTCCTTTCTTCTTTGTGCCCTTATCCCATCAACCACTATATCACCCAAGCCTGAAGCCTGGTAGTCATGTTAGAATTAGCTTGTTTCTTCACTCCTCACATGGTGCTGGCAGCAAACACTGTAGATTCTACCTTCTAAAATGTCTTGGAAAATGCTTTACTTTAAGCTGTTGTCACTTCTCACATGAATTGCAATAGACTTTGGGTAATATCCCTGCTGCCAATATTTCTCTCCATCATACCCCAGTGAGATCATCATAAAAATATAATTTTTACAACTTCAGTCCCTTTATTAAATTATTGAAGATATTTTCAACAATTTCAACATGAATTCCAAATCCTCAACATATTCTTAAAATTCTTTTTAAACTAACATTTACCTATGACTCTTTTCTAGAATGTCTCAGCATGCATAAGTTATTGACTACTTTCTTATTTAGTAACTTACACAAGTTATTCATTTTTGTTAAGTTATAGGGCATGCTCACACCCACTCAAATATCAACTATTTTACTCATAATTATTGTTTACATTTAGCTTAAATATCTTCATTTCTAGGATGTTGTCCTCACCGTCTTTGTAGTCCCAATATCAACAGGACACATTCAATGGCAAGTAAAAGCATTAACTATCTTTAAAAAACAAGCTGGGGTAGAATCAGAGGCTCAGATTTTCAGAAACTTTTCTGTTTTTTGGCACAGCTTGCTTCTGCTTGATTTCACTCATGCATAAATTTGGGGACCTAAAAATGTGACCAGAACGCTATCTCTTTGGATGTCTTGTCTTTGCTGGTCTCTGGTTTTATTCTCCTCCAGTGTGAGCAACATGACTGTTGGCAAGCCTACATTCACTGGCAAACCCACACCCACATAATTTCTATTTAGTAATCTCAGCTCTTTTCCAGTGTTCGTATCTCAATCTGAATCTCTGAGAAGACTTGTATAAGACACCATTCCACACCTAAATACAATGGCCTTGGAGCTGAGAAACACATCGTCGCTCTGTTGGGGTATAGGCTCACTCAGAAGTGGTAGGGGAACATAGTAATGGGCAGTCTCAACAGAACCACATGGAGTGGAGATGGAGATATCCACATAAACCAGAAGAAGATTAGACAGATTAAAACACTCATATATACATCATACATACACTCACTCACTCACACACTTGTATGCACACATGAACACACAGGCACAATTATGATACTTCAATAATCACTTTTACTTCAAAAGGTGAGGTAGTCCTATCTCCTCCATGCACTTTGTGGTACCTTACCGAAAAATCTATCATGATGCATATTTCATTGTACCATTCAAAAAAAAAAACTTTTCAGACCTCATGGTAGGTAGTAAATTCCTCAATAATAGAGTATTTAGTTTTTATACATGTATCACCAATAACTTGTAAATGTTGGCAAAAAATAGACATTGCACAAATGTTTGATCAGTAAGTGCCCAAATCACAGGATGTGCACTATGTTTTTCTCTTAAATTGTATTTAATAGCGATCCAACTTTCCATTTGTTTTCCTGTCATTTACTCAACAATGGAAAGGACTGATTTCGTACTTGATAAAATATTTACTGCTTGATTTATATGTTTAAATATCAGTTATATATATAATGGTGACATTCCCCAAAGACAGGCACTCTTACAGACCCTAACACTAAAAATGTCCTTTTTATCAATTTCAGGACAAAAGCCTTGGAAAATTTGAGCACTGCCATTTAATCTACATGCTGCACTGTATATTAAAAATAGTTTTTTCTTCTCTTGTTTTTTAGTTTCTTTGTTGTACCTTTGTTGAGTAACTCTAAAAAAAGAACATGAGTCTAGCCACAGCCACATCAATTTTTCTGATTATATAGAAGAGGAAAATGTTTGTGCATTAACAATTATTATGAGTACATTTAAGTCATTATTCATTTATGGAATTGCATTAATTTCTGAATAACGTGGCACCATAGATGGATGTTTCAAGAAAGGCAATGCAGTGTCTCTGTCTCCTGGATTCATTTAGTTCCTCAATCTGTCATTCACTGTGGCCATCCACAGACACTTCTCAAGCTGAAAAAACTCATTACATTATCAGTCAGATGACTGGATGAGATTTTAAAAAACAAATACAACAGTAATTTTAGTTAGCTCAAAGTATTAAAATTCCAAGGCCAAAATAATTTTTCCAGTTATGTGAGACTATTAGCTATGGAAATTCTAAAACATCATTGAATTAATTTATTTTAAACAATAGATAATGCTAAGTTTTTTTCTATTGAAAACAAATTCTGCATTTTCACCATTTGAATGTGCCATTTATTTTAATGAAGACAGTCTTAACACCAATATAAACTTTTCTTCAGAATATCAGGAGGTTTATTATCTGGGAAATAAGAATGCCTAAAAATCTTTAATGCATTTATTGCCTTATCACTCATGCATCCATTTGTATAATGTGTATTTATTGGGTATAAACACGAACTAAACTATACTGTTAGATGTTGAGGTATTTAGTTGATACGAAATTAAAAATCTATGGAGTATGTGTTATTAGTCACTTGTATTACTGTTCATTTTCTTATCATTATAGCAAAATAGTATGTATCCATTGATAAATTTAATTGGTAGATCAGTGATATGGATTGGTTAAGGGCAAAACTCTGGAGCCAAATAGTTTGTAGCCAAAATGCAATGTTATTTTACTATTATTTATGTACAAGACACTGAAACCTTCCGTGCCTCAATTTACTCATTTGTCAAACTGGAGTGATAATGTTTATATCTCATAGGATTATTGTGAAAATTAAGTTTTAACAACTACTGATAGTTTTTTATTACTAGACATGATAAAAATACAAGATGTACATTATCTACTGATGATGAAATAGGAAAATGTGGAACATTCATTGCTTCTAAATATCTGTGCATTTACAGTCTAATACAAAAATCAATTACCAGAGGCTGGGAAGGGCAAGGGGGAGTGGAAGATGGGAGAAGTTTGTCAATGAGTATAAAATTATGGTTAGGAGACATAAGTTCTAGTTTCCCATCAAACAGTAGGATGACTATAGTTAGCAATAATATACTATACATTCCAAAATAGCTAGAATAGAGGATTTTCAATGCTCTTACAACAAAGAAATGATACATGTTTAAGGTAATAGATATGCAAATTATCCTGATTTGATCATTACACATTGTAAATACATGAATCAAAACATTATACTGTACTCCATAAACATATGCAATTATTATGTGCCAATTAAAAACAAAACAAAACTTAAAACATACTTAACTCATTTAATATAAAGTTATTTAACAAAGTAGATGGTTGCCATGGTCTCATTTTAATAAATAATTGGAAAACAAATTAGGATAACTTGAAACTAAAAATATAACATTTTAAAAAAATAGTTATCCAGTAAAATTAAAAACTTTAATTTTAAAATATAATTAAAATATTACTAATCTTATTTTAAGTTTTCAGGATCAAGGTGCTTGGTATTTCTTTAAACTGCATTTGCTTTTCCTTATTGTAGCCACAGGTTTAAATCTTTATGTCATTGGTATTTGACTTTCTTTGGGAATGCTGGTTTGAGATTAAGATGTTGTTAAGCTACAACATTGACCAGTCAGTGTTTGTGAACTTTGAGGGAAAATATACACTGAGGAAAAAGCAAGACAAACAATCTATAGAACTATAAAGTTATGTTGGCCTATTTAAAAAACACCTATTTATTGGGGGATAATTGATATGTAAAAATCTATATGTATTATATTTAATCTTGATGAGTTTGAAGATAAGTATATACTTGTTGAAATCATCGAGATCATAAACATATTCATCTCCTCCCACAATTTCCTCCCAACCCTTTTATTTTTATTATTTAGTTGTTTTCTTTCTAAAAACACAAAAGACCTACTCTCTTAGAGATTTTAAGTATACAATACAGTATTGTTAATTGTAGACACTCTGCTGTAGAGTAGACTTCTTGGACTTATTTATCTTGCATAACTGAAACCTTGTATCCTTTAACTATCACTTCTCCATTCCTCAACCCCTATTTATCCCCCAATTCATGTCAATCACCATTCTACTCTTTGTGTTTATGACTAGACTATTTTAGAGTCCACACATAAGTAAGACCATGTAGCATTTGTCTTTCTGTATCTGGTTTATTTTACTTACCACACTGTCCTCCAGGCCCATCTATGTTTCCATGTTGTCTCAAGTGACAGAATTTTCTTCCTCATTTGACTAAATAATATTCCATTGGATAAAGAAAATACATATGTATGTATATACACACATATACATGACACATAATTTACTAAATAAACTATCCTGTTTTCACTTTGTATTCTTAGAGCCCTTGTCAAAGATTAATTGGCCTGATATGCATATATTTATTTTGGGGACCTCTATTCTGTTTCACTGGGTTAATTGTCTACCTTTTATGTCGGTACCATATAGTTTTGATTACTATTGTTTTGTGACACAATTTGAAATCAGAATGTGTGATGCCTCTAGCTTTGTTCCTCTTGCTCAAAATTGTTTGTTATTAGGGATCTTTTGAGGTTCTATATGAAGTTTAAGATTTTTTTCTATTTCTGAGAAAAATACCATTAGAACTTTGATAGGTATTCCACTGAATAATTATTAATTCTTCCAATTCATGAACATGGAATATTTTTCCATTTATTTCTAATATGAAGCTGACCCAGTAGTCCTATAGACAGGTTTTTTTGGATACACATAGAAATTGATCCTTGTGGTCTTAAAGCTTGAAATTTACATAAATTTTATCTGAGTTTCTCTCTCAGTAAAGGATCCTCAGGCCTCTCAAAATGTATCAAAGAACTGAAACTCACCAGATCATCATATTCAGACAATGAGGGGCCAAGCACCATCATTCATCCTGATTGCAACCTTCTGCCTCCCAAATTCCTGTTTTCCTACACATTGTTACATTTCTTCCGGGTATATGAACCTCTAATTTTAGGCAATCAGAGAGACAAATTTGAGACTGATCGCCATCTCCTTTGCTGCAACACCCAATAAAAGGTTTCTTTCTTGGCACTATTTGTTGTCTCAGTGATTGGCTTTCTGTGCAGCATTTAGCAGGACCTAGAACAAACATCTGGTGTTTCATTAACATATATTTTAATATGTTTTATCAATGTTTTATAGTTTTCAATGTATAGGTCTTACATATTTAAATTTATTCCCAAGTATTTTATTCTTATTGATTTTATTATAAATATAATTTTTTCTCAAATTATTTTTAAGATAGTTCATGTTTTTTTTAATTATACTTTAAGTTTTAGAGTACATGTGCATAATGTGCAGGTTTGTTACATATGTATACATGTGCCATGTTGGTGTGCTGCACCCATTAACTTGTCATTTACATTAGGTATATCTCCTAATGCTAGCCCTCCTCCCTTCCCCCACCCCACATCAGGCCCCAGGGTATGATGTTCCCCTTCCTGTGTCCACGTGTTCTCATTGTTCAGTTCCCACCTATGAGTGAGAACATGTGGTGTTTGATTTTTCGTCCTTGGGATAGTTGGCTGAGAATGATGGTTTCCAGCTTCATCCATGTCCCTAAGAAGGACATGAACTCATCATTTTTTATGACTGCATAGTATTCCATGGTGTATATATGCCACATTTTCTTAATCCAGTCTATCATTGTTGGACATTTGGGTTGGTTCCAAGTCTTTGCTATTGTGAATAGTGCCACAATAAACATACGTGTGCATGTGTCTTTATAGCAGCATGATTTATACTCCTTTGGGTATATACCCACCAATGGGATGGCTGGGTCAAATGGTATTTCCAGTTCTAGATCCCTGAGGAATCGCCACACTGACTTCCACAATGGTTGAACTAGTTTACAGTTTTAGTATATAGAAACAATTTTTAATTATTGATATTATATCCTGCAACTTCACTGACTTAGATAATCATCTCTAACAGTATTTTGGTGTTATATTTAAGTTTTTCTACACATACCATGTCATCTGCAAACAAAGACAATTTTACTTCTTGTCTGATTTGGATGCCTTTTCTTCTTTCTTGTTGAATTGCTCTGGCTAGGCCTTTCAGGACTATGCTGAATAGAAGTGGTGAGGGTAGGCATCCTTGCCTTGTTCCTGATCTTAGACAAAAAGTTGAAAGCTTTTCATGTTTGAATATAATGTTCACCATGAGATTGTCATATATGGTATTTATTGTTGAGGTATGTTTATTCTATTCCTAAATTTTAAGTGCTTTTACCACAAAGGAATATTGAACTTTGTCAAATGCTTTTTTTTTTTTTTTTTTTTTGCATCGATTGAGATGTTCAGGTCATTTTTATCCTTTATTCTGTTAAAGGGGTTTATCATATTAATTTTTTGATGTCAAACCATCCTTGTATCCCAGGGATAAATCTCACTTGATCATGGTGTATGAGCCTTTCATGTGCTGTAGAATTTGGTTTGCTTATTGTGTTGAAGACTTTTACATCTTTTTATCAGGAATATTGGCTTGTAGTTTTCTTTCCTGTACTATCCTTGTCTGGTTTGGTATCCGAGTAATACTGGATTGTTAGAATGAGTTTAGAAGTGGTCCTCTTCTTCAGTTTTGGAAGAATTTGATAAGAATTGGTGCTAATTATTCTCTAAATGTTTGGTCAAATTCATTGGTAAATCCATGTGGCCAGGGACTTTTCTTTCTGGGGAGATTTTTGATTACTAATTTAGTGTTCTTACTCATTATTGGTCCACTTAAATTTTTTATTTCATCATAGTTGCTTTGGGAAAATTGTATGTTTGTGGGAATGTATGAATTTCTTCTAAAATATCCAATTTGTTGACATATAATTTTTCTTAGTAGTCTCTTTTGAGTCTATATATTTTGTGGTATCAGTTCTAAAGTCTTGTCTTTCACTTACAATTTATTTGAGTCTTCTTAATTTTTTTTAGTCTAGCTAAATGTTTGTCAATTTTGTTCATCTTTTCAAAGAAAAACTGTTTTCTATTGTTTTGTTATTCTTTTCGATTGTTTTTCTAATCTGTTTCAATACGTTTCTGCTCTAATCTTTACTTTCTTCCTTCTGCTAACTTTGGGCTTAGTTTGTTTTTCCTTTTCTAGTTCCTTGCAAAAGAACCTAAAATTAGGTTGTTTTTTTGAGACATGTGTTTTTCCTTAATGTAGATATTTATTGCTATATAATTTCCTCTTGGAACTACTTTTGTTGCATTCTACAAGTTTTGATGTGTTGTGTTTCCATTTTTATTGGTTCAAGGTAATTTTTAATTTATATTTTGATTCCTCTTTTGTCCCATTGATTGTTCAGGAATGCATTGTTTCATTTCCACATATTTGTGTTTTCTAGTTTTCCCCC